>NT_187685.1:0-170148 GCF_000001405.40 Homo sapiens
TTTCTTTCTTTTTTTTTTTTTTGTGGTGAGGACCCTTAAGATCTACTCTCCCAGCCGGGCGTGGTGGCTCATGCCTGTAATCCCAGTACTTTGGGAGGCCGAGGCAGGCGGATCACGAGGTCAGGAGATCGAGACCATCCTGGCTAACACAGTGAAACCCCGTCTCTACTAAAAATACAAAAAATTAGCAGGGCGTGGTGGCGGGCGCCTGTAGTCCCAGCTACTCGGGAGGCTGAGGCAGGAGAATGGCGTGAACCCAGGAGGCGGAGCTTGCGGTGAGCCGAGATCGCGCCACTGCACTCCAGCCTGGGTGACAGAGCAAGACTCCAGCTCAAAAAAAAAAAAAAAAAAAAAAAATCTACTCTCCCATGCTTGCCTCGGCAGCACATATACTAAAATTGGAACGATACAGAGAAAACTAGCATGGCCCCTGCGCAAGAATGACACGCAAATTCGTGAAGTGTTCCATATTTAAAAAAAAAAATCTACTTTCCTGGTAAATTTCAAGTATAGAGTACAGTATTGTCAACCATAGTGGCAAAGCTGTACAAGAGATCTTCAGACCCATTCCTCCTGAATACCTGATAGTTTGTATCCTTTGATCAACATCTCCCAATTCCCTCCCCCACACTGTCCCTGTAGTTCTAGTGAGTTTCCCAGACTCTGATGTCTCAATTTCATTCAGTCACTTTCCTCCAGATACATCTACCCATTCCTACTGCATCTTAGTATCCTGAGCCTTGGGGGCAGTTTCTGTGCCAAGTGGAAATGTGGAAATGAGATATTACGAAGAAAAATCTTTGCCCACCTAGACAGGGATCTGATGTTTTCCAAGATGACACATGATTACATGTTGAAATGATAATATTTTGAGTCTACTTGTATAATAAAATAATATTTTGGATCTATTAGGTTAATATTTTGGGTCTGTTGGGTTAATAATATTTTGGGTCCATTGGGTTAACTTAAATTAATTTTATCTGTTTCTTGTTAGCTTTTTAATTTGGATACTAGCAAGTTTGAAAGAATGCATGTGGTTTGCATTATGTTTCTATAGGACAGAACTTACCTGTAGATGTAAGGGAGTCACAACAAAATTACAAGCATTGTTTTTGGTGGAAATGAGAAAAATGATTACAAATTTACATGGAAAAGCAAATAGCCAATAATAATAATAATGGCAATCTTAAAGAGGAAGGAGAAATTAGAGGATTCAGGCTGCCAAATTTTAAGGGGTTCTATAAGGCCACATAAAGTGCAGCATCCTCATGAGAGTGGACACAGAGAGCCACTGAGCAGAAAAGAGTGTGTAAAATACATCTGTGTACACACAGTCCTTTTATAGTTGACAGAGGCTGCCATGCGGATTAAGGTGGAATAGAATGTCTTCTCAGTAAATAACATTGGACCAGAGGGTTACAAGCAGGAAAAAATAAATCTAAGCTTATTTTCACACCATAAAAACACTGCTAATTTTTTATCTTATTATCATACATTTTGATGATTTATTTATAAAATTGATGAATGAAAATTATATACAGTTGTCCTTCACTATTCATGGGTGATTGGTTCCAGGAAACCCCCCTCCCTACCAGACACCAAAATCTGCAGATGCTCAAGCCTGTTGCATGAAATGGCACAGCGTTTGCATATAACCCATGCACATCCTCCTGTATACATGAAATCATCTCTAGATTACTTATAATTCCTGATACAGCCTACACACCACCTCACTTGTGTCCACACAATATAGTATTTTTGCTTTTTGGAACTTTGTGGATTTTTTCTCTGAATATTTTTGATTTATATTTGGTTCAATAAACACCTGTAAACCCCACAGATATGGAGGAGCGACTGTATATTTATAGTATGAAAGATGATGTGTTGACATGTGTCCCTGTGGAGATGAGACTAACAAGGCCTATGACTCTACAAATGTTTCATCTTGGAATGACTCTGCCAGCTTTCCAGGTCTGCAGAGAGTAAGAATATCACTTGTTCATGTGATTCACGATCCTTGGAACCTCCTATGTGCTGCATCTTTGGATGGAAATTGGAGTCCCAGAGACAAATGAGGCTCCACCCTGCTTCCAGAAGCTCAGAGTCCAGGGCTGAGAACCCAGTAGAGAACATATCAGGTTATATGGACATAGTAATGATAACACTGGAAACTTTTGGCGAATAAAGAGTCAC
The DNA here is from genome assembly GCF_000001405.40 of Homo sapiens. Classification (NCBI taxonomy): domain Eukaryota; kingdom Metazoa; phylum Chordata; class Mammalia; order Primates; family Hominidae; genus Homo; species Homo sapiens. The sequence continues at coordinate 2,194 of NT_187685.1, forward strand.
ATTATCGAAACCATGAGGGCAGACATGTTTATTTGAAGAGGAGAGAGCTACACTGAAGTTATAAAAAAAATTTATAAATTTTACTGATGACAGAAGGCTGAAAGATAGTCTGAGGGGAGGTGGAACAGCATGAGGGAAGGTGGAACAGCAAGTGTGTAAGTGCCGTGTTAAGAGGGAGCCTCTTGTATGTTTGGAATTGTGAGTTCCTCAGTGTGATTGCAGCCTCAAGTAGGACTAGGAAGTAAGCCAGTTAGGTTGGAGAGGTGGGCAGGGGTCAAGTGAAATAGATACTTGTGGGCTAAGCAAAGGAGTGTGTTTTCTCTGCAGCAGGCAGTGGCGACCTTAGGCATTTGTAAGCAAGAGAGAGGCATGTTCAGATTCGTGGTGTGAGGAAGAGCGATCCCCTAAGATGCAGACTGATGCCTTCAGATTCCAGCTGCTGGTTCATTGGATCTGGCAACCTGGTTTTGAGACAGGGCTGTTGTCTCCCTAGAAAACCCCCTCAAGACCTGACTGTGGTGCTCGTGGGCAGGAGACAACTTTGGATCTGGGCTCAGCATTTGGAAGTTCCGTGTACACGCTGGTATCTGTTAGGGGTGTCTTGGGCCTCTGAGAAGGGCGACTGATTTTTCTCTGTATGAAAACGCAGTGATCCAACTGTGCGTACGTCACCTCCTGAGGGTCTTGTTCATCAGAGTCCTGGAGAGAGGGAAATGCTGAGTGAGGGAGGGTGCTCACATTTTTCAGGACTATTAGGGATAAGACTGTATCCGTGAGGCTGGGCCGAGGAGGACCTACCTGCCTATTCACTGTTCTGTCCCCCGCAGGCTCTTGGTCCATTACAGCAGCATCTGTAGGAGACGGAAGTCATCAAAACCGCTTGGAGGGCCCTTCTGGGTCCTCATTTCATGGGCAGACACCAACCCACAGGGGGAGGCTGTAGGTGCCTGAGGCTCTTCAGCTGCCAACATCCAGACTCAGACATTCTATCTCTCTGAGTTCAAGACCCCATCCCATGAAGTGCTCTCAATTGGCATCCCATTGATTCTGTCTCCCACTTTCTGCCTGTCATGGAAGCTTCTGGATGTCAGTGGCTGCAGGGGATGTGAGGATACAGTTCAGAACCAGGCAATGGTCTGTGAGCTGAAGGCAGGGGCAGGTTGTCTGGTGCTCTCTCTAGAAAGCCCTGCCTCTGTGGCTCCTCCCTTGGGCCAGGGACCATCCTGCCAGTGAGGAACACACACCCGCGTGCTCCCATCCTGCTTCCCCACATGGCCCTGAGCTCTCTGGCCTCTGCTTCGTGAGACTTACTCTTTTTGTTGGAGCACCAGCGATAAAGGAGAAAGAAGAGGAGGAGGATGAAGAGGAAGATGACCACTGAGGTCCCAATCAGAACATGCAGGTGTCTGCAGATACCTGGAGGAAGATGGGAATCCAATAAGAAGCTAATCATAGCAGTTCCTCTTTATGGATTGTCTCATTTCTTGATTGACAGGTAACCACATGGAACATCTCCTTAGGACAAGCAGCCTGATGGCGGGAGACCCAGCTTTCTCCTGCTTTCTCAGTTACAGCTCTCATAGAAACCATAGAACATGCTGAGGATACAGCTGCTTTAGTTTAGATGTTTGACCCTTTGAAACCTCACACTGAAATATTGAAATTTAACCCCCAGTGTGGAAGTTTGGGCCTATGGGAAGGTGTTTGAGTCATGGAGGTGGATCCATCATGAATAGATTAATGCTGCCCCACATGATGGGGTTAGCAAGTTCCCCCTCTATTAGTTCCCGGAGGGCTGGTTGTTAAAAAGAGCTTGGAAGCTCCATCGCTCGCCCTCCCCCTTGCTCCCTCTCTTGCCATGTGATCTCTGTGGTCTCTGCACAGACAGACCCTCCTTCCCTTCTGCCAGAGTGGGAGCAGCCTGAGGCCGTCACAGGAAACAGATGCTGGTGCCATGCTTCCAGTACAGCCTGCAGAACTGTGAGGCAAACAAATCTGTTTTCTCTAGAAGTTGCCCAGGCTCTGGGATGCAAGGCTGGTTCAATATATGCAAATCAATAAATGTAATCCATCATATAAACAGAACCAAAGACAAAAACCGGACGACTATCTCAATAGATGCAGAAAAGGCCTTTGACAAAATTCAACAACGCTTCATGCTAAAAACTCTCAATAAATTAGGCATTGATGGGACGTATCTCAAAATAATAAGAGCCATCTATAACAAACCCACAGCCAGTATCATACTGAATGGGCAAAAACTGGAAGCATTCCCTTTGAAAACTGGCACAAGACAGGGATGCCCTCTTTCACCACTCCTATTCAACATAGTGTTGGAAGTTCTGGCCAGGGCAATTAGGCAGGAGAAGGAAATAAAGGGTATTCAATTAGGAAAAGAGGAAGTCAAATTGTCCCTGTTTGCAGATGACATGATTGTATATATAGAAAACCCCATTGTCTCAGCCCAAAATCTCCTTAAGCTGATAAGCAGCTTCTACAAAGTCTCAGGATACAGAATCAATGTACAAAAATCACAAGCATTCTTATACACCAATAACAGACAAACAGAGAGCCAAATCATGAGTGAACTCCCATTCACAATTGCTTCAAAGAGAATAAAATACCTAGGAATCCAACTTACAAGGGATATGAAGGACCTCTTCAAGGAGAACTACAAACCACTGCTCAATGAAATAAAAGAGGATACAAACAAATGGAAGAACATTCCATGCTCATGGGTAGGAAGAATCAAGATCGTGAAAATGGCCATACTGCCCAAGGTAATTTATAGATTCAATGCCATCCCCATCAAGCTACCAATGACTTTCTTCACAGAATTGGAAAAAACTACCTTAAAGTTCATATGGAATCAAAAAAGAGCCTGCATTGCCAAGTCAATCCTAAGCCAAAAGAACAAAGCTGGAGGCATCATGCTGCCTGACTTCAAACTATACTACAAGGCTACAGTAACCAAAACAGCATGGTACTGGTACCAAAACAGAGATATAGATCAATGGAACAGAATAGAGCCCTCAGAAATAATGCCACATATCTACAACTATGTGATCTTTGACAAACCTGAGAAAAACAAGCAATGGGGAAAGGATTCCCTATTTAATAAATGGTGCTGGGAAAACTGGCTAGCCATAGGTAGAAAGCTGAAACTGGATCCCTTCCTTACACCTTATACAAAAATTAATTTGAGATGGATTAAAGACTTAAACGTTAGACCTAAAACCATAAAAACCCTAGAAGAAAACCTAGGCATTACCATTCAGGACATAGGCATGGACAAGGACTTCATGTCTAAAACACCAAAAGCAACGGCAACAAAAGCCAAAATTGACAAACGGGATCTAATTAAACTAAAGAGCTTCTGCACAGCAAAAGAAACTACCATCAGAGTGAACAGACAACCTACAAAATGGGAGAAAATTTTCGCAACCTACTCATCTGACAAAGGGCTAATATCCAGAATCTACAATGAACTCAAACAAATTTACAAGAAAAAAACAAACAATCCTATCAAAAAGTGGGCAAAGGACATGAACAGACACTTCTCAAAAGAAGACATTTATGCAGCCAAAAAACACATGAAAAAATGCTCACCATGACTGGCCATCAGAGAAATGCAAATCAAAACCACAATGAGATACCATCTCACACCAGTTAGAATGGCGATCATTAAAAAGTCGGGAAACAACAGGTGCTGGAGAGGATGTGGAGAAATAGGAACACTTTTACACTGTTGGTGGGACTGTAAACTAGTTCAACCATTGTGGAAGTCAGTGTGGCGATTCCTCAGGGATCTAGAGCTTGAAATACCATTTGACCCAGCCATCCCATTACTGGGTATAAACCCAAAGGACTATAAATCATGCTGCTATAAAGACACATGGACACGTATGTTTATTGTGGCACTATTCACAATAGCAAAGACTTGGAACCAACCCAAATGTCCAACAATGATAGACTGGATGAAGAAAATGTGGCACATATACACCATGGAATACTATGCAGCCATAAAAAATGATGAGTTCATGTCCTTTGCAGGGACATGGATGAAATTGGAAATCATCATTCTCAGTAGACTATCACAAGGACAAAAATCCAAACACCGCATGTTCTCACTTATAGGTGGGAATTGAACAATGAGAACACATGGACACAGGAAGGGGAACATCACACTCTGGGGACTGTTGTGGGGTGGGGGGAGGGGGGAGGGATAGCATTAGGAGATATACCTAATGCTAAATGACGAGTTGATGGGTGCAGCACACCAGCATGGCACATGTATACATATGTAACTAACCTGCACATTGTGCACATGTACCCTAAAACTTAAAGTATAATAATAATAAAAATTTTAAAAAAAAGCTCATCAGAAGCACTATACAAAAAAAAAAAAAAAAAAAAAAAGAAGTAACCCAGGCTCAAGTGTTCTTTTATAGCAACAAAAATGGACTAAGACAGCAACGTCCTGAGATCAGGAGGAACGTCTCAGAACAGCCTGTGCTGTCTTCCTGTTCTTCCTGGAGGAGGACGTCATGCAGTGCTTTAGCTGAGTGCTTCCTGTGGCTTCAGGGTACAAAACCCAGGCTGGGCTATTTTCTGGCTTCCCCCAGATACACTGCAAATGAGGTGACTCCATATGTCCCGAGCAGCTTTTCTGAGCCTTGAGGGACTGGCTCACGTTGAAATGTAGGCTTCTGTTGTCACTCGCTGCTTATCTGTTAGTAATGAACCTGCCTATGTAACGTATTCTCTGTGTGTTCTGTCTCCCTGGAGTGACGGTGAGTGATAGAAATTGGCATAGGCCCAGGTGCAGTACAGCAGGTGTTTAGAGTCTTCTCTGGAAAGACTGGACTGGGATTGATACACAGTGAATGTGCTTTACAGTTTCTACATCCACAACCCTCTTGACTCAAATTACATTCTCCAAGAAAAGGACACAAAAGTGAAATCAAGATCAAAAAAGCAAAGTAGAATTCTCTTATGTCAAACAGCCAGGAAATAATGATGAAGCCCATGTGAAACGTGCTACTCTTTGTGATCTCGCGAGACACATGTTAGGCTGCTGTTCCACCTGAGAGGCTGGGGGAAAGACCACCCCCTCCACCATCTATTGCTTCAAAACCACCTGTCCTCCTGTGAATTAGTAGGAAAGGGGAGCAGGAGCTAGTGCTGGTGCTGATCTCTGATTCCAAGATCTGAACTCACTCCAAGGAGTATTAGCGTTTACCTCCCCATGATCTATCTGTATCTCCACAGGTGATTGGAAGTAGGGGTGAGGTGGGGGATTTGGGTGAGGGGGAAAGTTTCTTGTGATGAACAGAGCACTTTCCCTATTTCAGGGCCTGTGCTGGTGGGTTCAGGGGGCTTTCATATTTTCCATATGATCTCATGTTCACAGAAAGCCAAATATGGAAGAGGTTTTAGGCTGATTTTCTAATGGATAAGATAAAGGATCAAAGAAGTAATTATAGAGGAATAGAAAAATGATGATTGGAATTCAGGTGCCTGCATCATTTGTGTATATTATTATATTTATGTATTTTTTATTTTTATTTTTTGAGACAGAGTATCCCTGTGTAGCCCAGGCTGGTGTGCAGTGATGCGATCTCCACTCACTGCAACCTCTGCCTCCAGGGCTGAAGTCATTCTCCTGCTTCCTCCTCCAGAGTAGCTGGGATTACAGTCATGCACCACCATCATGCCTGTTTAATTTTTGTATTTTTAGTAGAGATAGGGTTTCTCCATGTTGGCCAGGCTGGTCTCGAACTCCTGACTTCATGTGATCCACCCGCGTTGGCCTCCTGAAGTGCTGGGTTATAGGCGTGAGCCACCGTTCACAGCCTTGTATATTATGCTATACTAGGTCCCTTCATTTGCACCACCCCTCATCTAGCTCTCCCTCCTCTGCCAGGTATTGATTTAGATGCAGGAGAAATAAATCTCAGAAATAAGTTAGTGAAGCGAGGATTAAACTACCAGGAAAAATTAAACCCAGCAAGCCTTTCCAGCCAATGATTCTACCTCACAAACATATCTTATATCCATCTACTTCATTCATTTAGTGTCTAAATCAGCACCACATTTCACCAGTGGGGCGGCAATTGCCTTTTCCACGGTCTCCTAGATTCCAGTTATGCAACTGAGCCTCCCTTATTTTCATGTCAGTCATATTAATCATGTAGGGATTCCTGGTTACCTCGAGGTGAATCCAATGGCTGTGAGTGTCAAACACACGCTCCTTGTTGCTCCTTAGTTTCCTGTGTACCCAGTGTGCTCTCCGTCTCTCTACAGTCATCTTGTCATTCTCCCCACCTCATTCCCAGCATTTCAGGCAGAGCCTCTTCCTTCCACATCAGATTGTTTTCACCTTTGTGCCTTCACGGCTGACAGCTGTGTGTGCAAAATCCTTCCGCCAATCTTTCAGGGGTTCAATCCGTGTTTTTCATTAATGTCACAAATATCTGATTAGTGAGAACTTCTCTGTCACCTGAAATAATACTCTCAGCATTATCTATTATTGATTTGAAAATTTGGCTTGGCCCCGTGGCTCATGCCTCTTATCCCAGCGTGTTGGGAGGCAGAGGCTATTGGATCACCTGAGGTTGGGAATTTGAGACCAGCCTGGCCAACATGGTGAAACATCCTCTCTACAGAAAATATGCAAAAAGAGTTAGCCGGGCGTGGTGGTTGTGGTCTGTAATCCCAGCTACTGGAGAGGCTGAGGGAGGAGATCAGTTCAGCCCAGGAGGTGGAGGTTGCAGTGAGCCGAGATCATGCCACCGCACTCTAGCCTGGACGACAGAGCAAGGCTCCGTCTCAATAAACAAGTAGGTAAATACATAAATAAATAGATTTCATGCACAGATGCTTCTCAATAGATCATTCATTTATTGGTCCCCTTGTGCCTACATTTTCTGCCCTCCCATTTAACCATCTGCAAGATCAGTGTCCCAAGAACAGAGGCCAAATGCATCTTGTTCACTGTTTGTGGAAGGCAGGAGAATGTTGTCCCACCCCAAAAATGTCCATGTCCTAGCCTCCATAGCTTGTGAATATGTTATTTTACATGAAAGGAGGAATGAAGATTGCAGATGGAATTATGGTTGCTAGTCAGCTGAACTTAAAAGGAGGGTATCCTGGATGATTTCCGGGAGATTATGATGGATTTTCATCTTGGTGAACCCAATAGAATCCCCAAGTTTTCAAAAGAAGGGCAAGAAGGGAGAGCAGCATTCAGAGAAAGAGGTGTGGTAAGGAAGAAGGGTCTGAGTGATGCCATGTGAGATGTGACCAGTCTTTGTGGGCTTTGAGGAAGGAGGAAGGGTACCAGGAGCCAAGGAACATGGGAGCCTCTAGAAGCTGAGAAAAGTGAGAAGCAGATTCTTGCCTGGAACCCTCAGAGGGAAGGCAGCCTTGCTGTCACCTTGATTTTAGCCCAGTGACATGCACGTCATGCTTTGAGCTACAGCACTGTAAGATAATTAAATAACCGTTTTGTTTTCACACACGAATCTTGTGGAAATTTGTTATGGCAACAATAGGAAAAGCTTCCACACTGCACAGCCTGAGCATGGGGCTGTGGCTGAATGAGTCACTGAGTCGAAGTGTGCGTGCATGAGCTCTGTTCTCTGTTACGGCAAGGCTCTTGCTCTGCTGAGTCAGCCAGGGTTGCCTGATGACCAACAGTAATTCATTCCTTGGCAAGTGGAACTTCTCTAAAACACCCACCCTCATCAGATGTTCCCTTCCCTTCCCTCTCTCAAGCCCCCGGGAATTTATCCTCCAGTTAGGAATGCAGGCAGAAAAAACACTGCATTTTTCCTGAGAAGGATGTCAGATTGGCAATTATTCTTCTAGCTTGTAGGAGGTCTCACCTGCAGGAAATTAAAGGTAAAGAGACTTCGCTGAGCCCTTTGGTGGCCCTAGATCCCTTTCACTGTTGGAGTGTCTGGAGTTCAGAGATGGTGGAAGACAGGCCCTCATTCACAGAGCTGGGAGGTTTGAGCCAACACTTGCATCCAAGGCTTCCACCTCCCCAGGTTTCCAAAAGCAGAGATAAGAGGGGTCCTTTACTCACCAGATTTGGAGCTTGGTTCTGTGGGTGAAGGCCAACTACTTGAAGGGTTTCCTAGAACACGGGACAGGAGAGATGTGAGGAAATGAGGGTGCTTGTCCTCTACTCAATGGAAATCTTTGAGGTTGGTTCATGGCCAACACTCTGTTATCTAATGTTGGACCCTGGGAGTCTTGGGATCCTTTTCTCCATAATTTTTGTGTGCGATGCCCACTGTCTTGAGACTTGAAGGTATAAAGAGAAAACAGGAGCATCACACTACCTGACTTAGAAATATGTTACAGAGCTGTAGTAAGCAAAACAGCATGACATTGGCATAAAGAAAGGCACATAAAAAATGGAACAGAATGGAGAACACAGATATAATCCATGCATTTACATCCAATGGCTTTCTTTTGTGTGTGTGTGATAGAATCTTGCTCTGTCATGCAGGCTGGAGTGTAGAGGTGCAATCTCAGCTCAATGCAACCTCCACTTCCTGGATTCAAGAAATTCTCTTGCTTCAAACTCCTGAGTAGTGGTATTACAGGCACTGATCACCATGCTCAGCTAATTTTTGTATTTTTAGTAGAGACGAGGTTTCACTCTGTTGGCCAGCCTGGTCTTGAACTCCTGGCTTTAGGTGATCCACCCGCCTCGGCCTCCCAAAGTGCTGGAATTGCAGGTGTGAGCCACCATACCCAGCCCATTTAATGGACTTTGACAAAGGTGCCGAGAACTTACAATCAGGAAAGGACAGTCTTCAATAAATGGTGTGGGGAAAACTGGATATCTACATGCAGAGGAATAAAACTGCATCTATACCTGTCACCTTACACAAAAATCAAATGAAAATGGATTAAAAACATGAGTCTAAGGCCTGAACCTATGAAACATGTAGAAGAAAATAATGGGGAAGACATTTGTCTGACGAAAGACATTTTGTTTAAAACCTTCAAAACACAAGTAATCAAAGCAAAAAATAGACCATTAGGATTACATCAAACCAAGCAACTTCTGCACCACCAAAGATAAACCAACAAAGTGAAGAGACAACCCACAAAATAGGAGCAAATATTTGCAAACTATTCATCTGAGATGGGATTAATAACTGGAAATATAAGAAGCTCAAACAACTCAATAAAACAATTTAATTAAAAAACGAGCAAAAGACATGAGGAGACATTTCTCCACAAACAAAACATAGAAATGGCGATCACGTATATGAAAAAGTGCTCAGCATCACTCATCATCACAGAAATGTAAATTACAATCGCGATGAGTTTTCATCTCATCCCATTAAAATGCCTTTTAGGCCGGTGGCTCACGCCTGTAATTCCAGCACTTTGGGAGGCGGAGGTGGGCGGATCACCTGAGGTCGGGAGACCAGCCTGACCAACATGGAGAAACTCCCTCTCTACTAAACATACAAAAATTAGCTAGGCGTGGTGGCACATGCCTGTAATCCCAGCTACTTTGGAGGCTGAGGCAGGAGAATCAGTTGAACGCGGGAGGCAGAGGTTGCAGTGAGCCGAGATCACACCCTTGCACTCCAGCCTGGGCGACTATGAGTGAAACTCCATCTCAACATAAATAAATAAATAAATAAAGTAAAGTAAAATGGCTTTTATCTGCAAGACAGGCAAAACAAATGCTGGCAAGATGGTAGAGAAAGGAGAACCCTGGTACCCTGTTGGTAGGAATGTAAATTAGTACAACTATTATGGAGAAAAGTATGGAAAATCTTTAAAAAACTAAAAGGAGGCTGGGCATAGTGGCTTATGCCTGTAACTTCAGCACTTTGGGAAACCGAGGCAGGCACCTCACTTGAGGTCAGGAGTTTGAGAGCAGCCTGCCCAAAATTGGGATATCCCGTCTGTGCTAAAAAATACAAGAATTAGTCAGGCATGGTGGCGTGCACCTGTAATCACAGCTATTAGGGAGGCTGAGTCAGGAGAATCGTTTGAACCTAGGAAGCAGAGGTTGCAATGAGCCAAGATCGCACCACTTTGACTCCAGCTTGGACTAAGGAGGGAAACTCTTTCTCAAAAAAGAAAAAAAAAAAAAGAGAACTTTCATAGTGTCCAGCAATTTCACTACTGGGTTTATATCCAAAGGAAAGGACATCAGTGTATCGAAGTGATATCTGCACTCATATGACTGTTCCAGCACTGTTCACAGTAGCCAAGATGTGGAGTCAACCTACCTGCCTATCAGTGGGTGAATGGATAGAGAACTGTAGTACACACACACGGTGGAGACTACTCATCCATAGAAACAATAACATCCTGTCATTTGCAGCCACATGGATGGAACTGGAGGTCATTACAAAGATTCCCATTTCTCACCACATGCAGGAGATAAAAGGTGGATCTCATGAAGGTAGAGAATAGAATGGTGGATACCAGAGGCCAGGAAGGGAAGGGTGGAAGGTAACAAAAAAAAGAATATAGATGTATTTATTTATTTAGAAACAGAGTCTCTCTCTGTCTCCCAGGCTGCAGTGCAGTGGCATGATCTCGGCTCAGTGCAACCTCTGCCTCCTGGCTTTAAGTGCTTCTCCTGCCTCAGCCTCCCAAGTAGCTAGGACTACAGGTGCATGCCGGCATGCTTGGCTAATTTTTCTTGTCTGTTTAGTAAAGATGAATTTCCCGCATGTTGGCCAGGCTGATCTCGAGTCCCTGATCTTAAATGATCCACCTTTCTTGGCCTCTCAAAGCGCCAAGATTACAACCGTGAACCACCACACCCAGCATATAAAGGTATTTATGACCACTAGATTTTACTTTTAAAAATGGTAAAGTTGGTAAATTATATAGTTACATTTAACCTCAATAAATATTTTTGAAAATGAAAAGAAAAGAGTGTAGGGGTTGCTGGTGATGACATCTCTCTGTGTGGGTGAGAGGCCAGGATGGGCTTCTGGGAAATGGGTAAGGTTGAGGGGCTGAGGGAACCTCTGATCTCCCCAAACTGAGCCCAGTCTCCCCTTCTCTGGGTCTGTCCTGACCGCTTTCTCCATCTGCCTGGGTGCCTGGAGCCCTGACCATGGGCCTCCATGCAGGCCATGCAAGAGGGTTTGGAGGTGCCCTGTCTGCCATCCTGCACCCTGACCCCCCCTCACACCCAGTCTTCGTGTTCTCTCTGCATCTGTCCATGCTTCTCCCCATCATCGGCAGGAAGCTCCTCAGCTATGGCTCTAGGATCATAAGACATGGGACAGACACGGGTTTTCCTCACCTGTGACAGAAACAAGCAGTGGGTCACTTGAGTTTGACCACACGCAGGGCAGGGCACGGAAAGAGCCGAAGCATCTGTAGGTCCCTCCGTGGGTGGCAGGGCCCAGAGGAAAGTCTGCCTGGAATGTTCTGTTGACCTTGGGCACTGCACGGAGCCTACGTTCATGGGCCTCCCCTTCCCTGGACAGATGGTAGATGTCATAGGAGCTCCAGGAGCTACAGGACAAGGTCACGTTCTCTCCTGCCTGAACCGTGGGGCCCGGCTGGGCTGAGAGAGAAGGTTTCTCATATAGACCTGGAAGGAGAAGAGGCAGTTTCCTCAGGGAGGTTCTTCCTTGTCACAGCTCCCCTCATACCTGAGCTGAGAACTCACTCCCCTGCTCTATGACCTAATGCTCTCTCTCTCTCTCACCCTCCACCCCAACTCTCTTCATGTCTATTTCCTCCTTCCGCCTTCTCTGTCTCTCTAGGTCTCTGACCTCACTTCCCCACCCCTGGGTATGCTTTCCCTTTTTGGATTGTTTTATTCTCTCTGACTCTCCTTGGATTGGTTGACTTGATCTTCCTTTTTCTATAATTCTGAGTCTCTCACTTTCTGTCTTGTTCATAACTTTCTGCATATTTCTATCTATTATCTATCTATCTATTTTGTGTCTATCTACAAATTATCTGTCATCTATATCTATGTATCATTTATCTATCAATTGTCTATCTGTCTATCCATCAATCATCTATGTATTATCTGTATCTATGTATCATCTCTCTCTCTCTCTATTACCTCTCTGTCTGCCTGTCAGTCTCTATGTATCATCTATGTATCTATATATTTATATATGTGTCTTCTATCTATCTTCATCATCATCATCATCATCATCTCTATGTATCATCTATCAATCATCATCTATGTATCTATAACCTATCCATTATCTATCATCTACCTATTTATCATCTATCTATATCTATCTATCCATCTATCATCTGTCTCTCTCCATCTCCTTGTCTTTCTCTGCCTCTCAGTCTCTCTAGTTCTATTTGGAATCTCTGCAATCCATCCCCACATCTTTATCTTTCTCTGTCTTTGTGCCCCTCCCTCAGGGTTCTGATTTTGGGGCTTTTCTCTCCTCCCTTCCAGCATTCTCTCCACTCCTCTGCCCTCTTTTCTTTCTTTTTGTGTGTCTGTGAGTCTCTCAATCCCCTTCCTCTGGCTCATTCTCTGTGTGTTTATGCCTTTGCTTTTTGAAGTCCCTGATTTATCTCTGTGTCTCTCAGTGATCCTATTATATGTAGGATTATTTGGAATATGAGCCTCAGAATCTAGTCTGGGGACACCAAGTACACACAGTATTTAGGGGTTGGTGTTCTGGGGCCATGATATCCTGGGATAATTATGGCTCCACTGCATGGAAGGCAGAGGTGTCAGAATAAACATGGCATCTGTAGATGCCACAAGGCCTGAGGCCACAGGGCCCAACTCAGGTCAGAAATATGGGTGTCCTTGGGTTCTCCTCGTAGAAGCACTTTGTGGAGACAAAACAGAAATGAAACTTCTAACCTGTGCCAGGTCTCTGAGCAAAGTCAGCATGGAAGGACACTTCTCTCTGGCACATGTCTGTCTGTCTGAGTGTCTCCTTTACCTCTTTCTCTCTTTTCTACTTCCCCGTATGGCCCCTGTGTCTGTCCTCTGTTATGACACCTGGTCTGTACTTATGTCTCCTGTTTCCCTGTCTCTGTTGGTACAGACCTCACCGAGTCAGTCTCTCTCCATAAGAATCCCACGCTTATCTTCCTCATGACCACCTGGGGGTTCCAAGTCCTGGATCATTCACTCTGTGTCCCAATGACAATGAGAAGAATGTCTGGACACTCTCACCTGTGATCACGATGTCCAGGGGGTCACTGGGAGCTGACAACTGATAGGGGGAGTGAGGAACAGAACCATAACATCTGTAGGTTCCTGCAAGGACAGGCATCAAGGGACCGATGGAGAAGTTGGCCTTGGAGACCCCATCATGGATCTGTCCAACGAGGCGTGAGGGGTCCTCAGAGATCCCCTCTCTGTGCAGAAAGAAGTGCTCAAACATGACATCTGACCAACATTGCAGGATGACTGTCTCTCCTGATTTCAGCAGGGGCCCTGGGTGGGCCAGGAGGGAAGGTTTTCTGTGGTTTCCTAGAAAGAGAAGTTGTGAGTTTAGAAGGCATCTCTCTTTATCATCCCATCCATGGCACCTGGAATGAGTGAGGGTTCCCCTCCCAGAGGTCTGTCTCTCTCCTCCCTCTCTGTGTCTCCGTGTCTTTTCTGTGCCCATATCCCCTGGTGCAGGTCCCTCCATTTGTCTTCCTCCCTCTTCTCTGTCCCTCTGTCTCCAGTAGCCCCTGACTCCCTTCCCACTGTGAAGAGAGCCTCATCTCTTGGGCTGTTGTATCTCTTTCCCACTAGTCTCTTTCCTGCTGTCTATGTGGGGGTGGAAGAGGACAGGCTGCATGTCCAGGCTCTCAGCAGCCTGAATCAATCTCTTTTGAACAAATTGGAGTCTCTGGCAGAGGTATCAACTCATCAGTAAGGCAGACATCAGTGTCCACACACCCTGTTCCTGATGGGGATTGGGAGCCTCTCCTGCCATGTCTGTGCCTTCTCCATGGCCCCAGCTTCCATAGGGTGGTCCCTGGTGCTGGTTCCAGGAGCATCAACCCCTTCCTATGTGGATGGAGCCTGGTGGTGGCATCAGCATCCCACCCTTGCTGATCCCACGGTAGCCAACCTTCTCCTTGTTTGGTTTCTTTAATTAATTGATTAATTAATTTATTTTTGAGACAGTCACTTTTTCACCCAGGCTGGAGTGCAGTGGTGTTGTCTTGGCTCACTGCAACCTCTGCCTCCCCGGTTCAAGTGATTATCTTGCCTCAGCCTCCCCAGTCGTTGGATTACTCGTGCCCACCACCACACCTGGCTATCCTTGTTTGGTTTCCTAGCTTGTCCTTGACCTGGGTTCCTGTGTCGGTTTCCTGTTGCTGCTGCAGAAAATTATCACAAACATGGCAGCAGGAGAGAACACACTGACCCCTTCCACTTCTGGGGACAGAAATTGGATCCAGTTCTCCCTGTGCTGAAATCAAGGCATCTGCAGGGCTGCGTTCCCTCTGGAGAATCAGCGAATCAGTTCTCTTGACTTCTCCAGCCCTTAGAGGCCACCTGCATTCTGTGACTAGTGGCCTTCCTCCACCTTCAAAGCCCACAGTGGCTGATAGCGTCTCCCTCCCACTACACTGCTCTAATCCCCACTCCCCTCTTCCTCCACCTCTCACGCGGACCCTTGTGATTACACTGAGCCCAGCAGGACAGTCCAGGCTGTCTCCCCATCTCAAGGTCAACTCATCAACAACCTGAGCTCCACCTTCCCCTTCAGTCCCCTGCCCTATAACATAAATAGTCACAGGCTCCAGGGTTTACAATGTAGCCATCATTGGCGACAGTGATTCTTCCCACCACAGCGCCCATTTCCCCTGTATTCAATCCCCCTTGACCCCAAATACAGTTGGGGCCTGGGTGATGGGACCCTGATGGACACCCCCACCAGAAGCTCTGGGATTCAGGAGGTGGGACAGTGAGAAGCCCAGACAGAAAGCCTCTGACCTGTGACCATGATCACCAGGGGGTTGCTGGGTGCCGACCACCCAGTGAGGGAGTGTGGGCGTGAACCCCGACATCTGTAGGTCCCTGCATGTGCTGGGGTCACAGGGCCCATGATGAAGCTCTCCTGGAATATTCTGCCGTGGAAGATGGGAACGTGGCTTCTGTCTTCTTTGTACAGCATGAAATTGTTAAACCCACGACGATAGTGACACTGAAGAGCCACGTGTCCTCCTCGAGGCACCACAGTGCTGGGCCAGGCAGACAGGAAGGGTTTGTCCTGACCACCTGGGGGAGAAGGAGGCACTGCCTTAGAGAGGAGGATGTGGAGCCGCCCCTCCCTCCCTGTGCTCAGAAGATTCTCCCATTTCCGCTTTCTAAGGCTCCTACCACACCTGGGTGCCCAGGGCTACAGGAAGGACCCACCCCACATAGACATGGCGTCTCCCTACAACAAGTGTCAGCTGAGAACTTTGAGCAAGTGCTGAATAAGTGACTCTTACTAGATTTTAATACTGCAAAATTACTCACATAAAACAACACAAAGTAGACACGGCATGGAGGGCATGTCCTATGTGAATGGAATATCAGCCAATTCATGAACTGAGCCCCCTCAGAGGATTTGGAATGTCAGGGCCATGGCTGTGGTTTCCCCCCTCTTCTGGTAGAAAGACCGCAGCCACACTGCAGCCCCTACCGTCACGGAAACGCTGGAGGGTGTCAGTTATACCTTTGTCCTCAGAGGACCTGCTGTTCCTAGCACTGCTTCCCTCTCTTTCTCTGCTGCTGACACCACTTCCTCCCTGCACACCCCAGCTTGGAGCACCCCAGTCTCACCCCAGTCTTCACAGAGCTTGACTCAGGAAAGGGAAAGAAAGGCCGGGGAGGGCGAGGTCAGAAATGTGGGCCGAGTATCCAAGGGTCCCCTCTTCCTAGTTTATGAGAGACTCCCCGACAGGACTTCCCTCCTGTTTCAGAAAAATCCTCTTATGTGGGGAGATGACACCCTAAGGTTTGGGGAAGGACTCACCCATGAGTGGCCAGGCCCCCTGCAGCAAGAAGAACCCTGGAAAGAAAGATCATGATAGACGATCCAACTGCAGGCAAACCAGGGCACCCTGCTGCCCCCACTGCACTGTGTGTCTTGGCAGCCAGGCCCTTGCTGGGCTGAAGGTAAACTTAGCCTCCCTGCTACCTGCTGCCAAGAACAGGGCTCTCAGCTGTGGAGAGACCCAGGCTCCAGGCCCAGATCAACACTTCCTGGCCCAGATCTCCACTCCAGGCCCATATCTCCACTCCAGGCCCCTATCTCCACTCCAGGCCCCTATCTCCACTCCAGGCCCATATCTCCACATCAGACCCATATCTCCACTCCAGGCCCAGATCTCCCCTCTAGGCCCATATCTCCACTCCAGGCCCATATCTCCACTCCAGGCCCATATCTCCACATCAGACCCATATCTCCACTCCAGGCCCATATCTCCACTCCAGGCCCAGATCTCCACCTGCAGGCCCATATCTCCACTCCAGGCCCATATCTCCACTCCAGGCCCGTATCTCCACTCCAGGCCCATATCTCCACACCCAGGCCCATATCTCCCCTCCAGGCCCATATCTGCACTCCAGGCCCATATTTACACCTCCAGGCCCATATCTCCACACCCAGGCCCATATCTCCACTCCAGGCCCATATCTCCACTCCAGGCCCATATCTTTACCTCTAGGCCGAGATCTCCATCCCCACTCTCCCTCCCTCTATTCCCTTCCAGGACTCACCAACGCACGCCATGCTGACGACAGTGAGCGACATGGTGCTGCCGGTGCAGACAGGAGGCCGCGCCCCAGCTCAGCTCAGCAGCGCACAGGATGTTATTTGGCGCCCTGCCCATGCAGTTTACATGTTGACCACATCATGGGAGGGTGACGTACGCAGGCTCTTTCTACCTTGCATGAGGCCCAGTGGGTGCTCGCTCAAGAGCGGAACATGGCTTCCTGGAAATTGTTGTGACTACAATTGCCACCTTGCATCCTTCACTATGACCAGACTCAAAAGACGTCTCAGATCCAACCTCTCACACATGAGGTGATTGAATTCTGTGCTTACATTAAAGACTTTTGATGTATTTTTGTTTTTATCTGAGATTCAAACTTTTCTTCATGTGTAATGTGCAAAATATCTAAGAGGTATTATTAACATTATCAGAGTAATTGTGACAAAAAGCCATTCTAATTTTCCTGATGAGTTTCTAGTACTAAACCTGAGGCACGAGAATTGCTTGAACCTGGGAGGCGGAGGCTGCAGTGAGCTGAGCTCAAGCCACTGAACTCCAGCTTGGGTGACAGAGGAAGAGTCTGTCTCAAGAAAGAAAAAAAAAGCAAACTAAATAACCTATAATAACAAATCAGAGAACTCAGGTTACCAAATTTTAAGGGGTTCTATAAGTTTATATGAAATGCAGCATCCTCATGAGAGGGGATACAGAGAACCACTGGGCAGAAAACTGTGTCTAAAATACATCTGTGGATACACAGTCCCTTTATAGTTGACAAAGGCTGCCATGTAGTTTAAGGTGGAATAGAATATTTTCTCAATAAATAACACAGGACCATAGGGTTACACGTAGGAAAAAATAAATCTAAACTTATCCTCACACTATAAAAACACTTCTTATTTTTTATCTTGTTGTTGTAAACTTTTTATGCTTTATTTTTAAGATTGACAAATAAAAATTATATACTGTGGTCCTTCACTATTCCTGGGTGATTGGTTCCAGGATCCCCATTCAGATACCAAAATCTGCAGATGCTCAAGCCCCTTGCATGAAATGGCATAGCGAAGCTGGGCACCGTGGCTCACGCCTGTAATCCCAGCACTTTGGGAGGCTGAGTTGGGTAGATCACGAGGTCAGGAGTTCAAGACCAGCTGGTCCAACATTCTGAAACCCCGTCTCTACTAAAAATACACACACAAAAAAATTTATCTGTGCATGGTGGCACGTGCCTGTAATCCTAGGGGAGGCTACTGGGGAGGCTGAGGGAAGACAATCGCTTGAACCTGGGAGGCAGAGGTTGCAGTGAGCTGAGATCATGCCACTGCACTCCAGCCTGGGTGAGAGAGTGAGACTGTCTCAAAAAAAAAAAAAAATAGCATAGCAATTGCATAGAACCCATGCACATCCTCCTGTATACATGAAATCATCTCTTGATTACTTATAATTCCTGACACAGCCTACACGCCACTCAATTTGTGTCGATTCAACATAGTTTTTTGCTTCTTGAAACTTCGGGGATTTTTTTCTGAAAATATTTTTGATTTATTGTTGGTTCAATAAACACCTGTAAACCCCACAGATATGGAGGACCGACTGTATATTTATATTATGAAAGTTGATATGTTGATATGTGTCCCCGTGGAGATGAGACTAACAAGGCCTATGTCTCTACAAATGTTTCATCGTGGAATGACTCTGCCAGCTTTCCAGGTCTGCAGAGAGTAAGAATATCACTTGTTCATGTGATTCACGATCCTTGGAGCCTCCTATGTGCTGTATCTTTGGATGGAAATTGGAGTCTCAGAGACAAATCAGGCTACATTCTGCTTCCAGAAGCTCAGAGTCCAGGGCTGAGAACCCAATGGAGAACAGATGGGGTTATGTGGACATGGTAATGATAACACCGGAAGCCTTAGGCAAGAAAAGAGTCTCGTTACCGAAACCATGAGGGCAGACATGTTTATTTGAAGGCGGGAAAACTACATTGAAATTATTTAAAAAATTTATAAGTTTTACTGCTGGCAGAAGGCTGAAAGATAGTCTGAAGGGAGGTGGAACAGCACGTGTCTAAGTGCTGTGTTAAGAGGGAGCCTCTTGTATGTTTGGAATTGTGAGTTCCTCAGTGTGATTGCAGCCTCAGGTAGACTAGGAAGTAAGCCAGTTAGGTTGGAGAGGTGGGCAGGGGTCAAGTGAAATGGAGAATTGTGGGCTAAGCAAAGGAGTGTGTTTTCTCTCCAGCAGGCAGTGGGGACCTTAGACATTTGTAAGCAAGAGAGAGGCATGTTCAGATTCGTGGTGTGAGGAAGAGCGATGCCCTAAGATGAAGACTGATGCCTTCAGATTCCAGCTGCTGGTACATGGGAGCTGGCAACCCGGTTTTGAGACAGGGCTGTTGTCTCCCTAGAAGATCCCCTCAAGGCCTGACTGTGGTGCTCGTGGACAGAAGACAACTTTGGATCTGGGCTCAGCATTTGGAAGTTCTATGTACATGCTGGTATCTGTTGGGGGTGTCTTGGGCCTCTCAGAAGGGTGAGTGATTTTTCTCTGTGTGAAAACACAGTGATCCAATTATGCGTATGACACCTCCTGATGGTCTTGTTCATCAGAATCCTGGAGAGAGGGAAATGCTGAGTGAGGGAGGGTGCTCACATTTTTCAGGACTCTTTGGGAATAAGACTAGCCACGAGGCTGGGCCGAGGAGCACCTACCTCGCTGTTCACTGTTCTGTTCCCTGCAGGCTCTTGGTCCATTACAGCAGCATCTGTAGAAGACGGAAGTCAACAAAAGAGCTCGGAGGGCACTTCTGGGTCCTCATTTCATAAGCAGATACCAACAAACAGGGGGAGGCCATAGGTGCCTGAGGTCCCTCAGTTGCCAACAGCAGACTCAGACATTCTATCTCTCTGAGTTCAAGGACCCATCCCATGAATAGCTCTGAGTTCCCATCCCATTGATTCTATCTCCCACTTTCTGCCTGTCATGGAACCTTCTCCTGGATGTGAGTGGCTGCAGGGGACGTGAGGATACAGTTCAGAATCAGGCAATGGTCTGTGAGCTGAAGGCAGGGGAAGGGAATCTGGTGCTCTCTCTAGAAAGTCCTGCCTCTGTGGCTCCTGTCTTGGGCCAGGGACCATCCTGCTGGTGAGGAACACACATCCGCGTGCTCCCATCCTGCTTCCCCACATGGCCCTGAGCTCTCTGGCCTCTGCTTCGTGAGACTTACTTTTTTTGTCGGAGCACCAGCGATGAAGGAGAAAGAAGAGGAGGATGGTGAAAGGGATTTTGACCACTGAGGTCCCAATCAGAACATGTAGGTGTCTGGGGTTACCTGGAAGAAGAGGAGACACCAATAAGAAGCTAATCATAGCAGTTCCTCTTTATGAATTGTCTCGCATTTCTTGATTGGCAGGTAACCACATACAACGTCTCTTTAGGACAAGCACCCAAATGGCGGGAGACCTAGCTTTCCCCTGCTTTCTCAATTATAGCTCTCATAGTAACCATAGAACGTGCTGAGGATACAACTACTTTAGTTGAGATGTTTGACCCTTTCAAACCTCACATTGAAATTTCACCCCCATTGTGGGAGGTTGGGCCTCTTCAGAGGTGTTTGGGTCATGGAGGTGGATCCATCATGAACAGATCAATGCTGTCCCAAGGAGACGGGGTTAGCAAGTTCCCCCTCTGTTAGTTCCTGGAGAGCTGGTTGTTAAAAAGAGCTTGGAAGCTCCATCGCTCCCTCTCCCCCTTACTCTCTCTCTTGCCGTGTGATCTCTGCGGTCTCTGCACAGACAGACCCTCCTTCCCTTCTGCCAGAGTGGGAGCAGCCTGAGGCCGTCACGAGAAATAGATGCTGGTGCCATGCTTCCAGTACAGCCTGCAGAACGGTGAGGCAAACCAATCTCTTTTCTTTAGAAGTTACCGAGGCTCAAGTGTTCCTTTAGAGCAACAAAAATGGACTAAGATAGCAACATCCTGAGATCAGGAGGAATGTCTCAGAACAGCCTGGGCTGTCTTCCTGTTCTTCCTGGAGGAGGACGTCATGCAGTGCTTTAGCTGAGTGCTTCCTGTGGCTCCAGGGTACAAAACCCAGGCTGGGCTGCTTTCTGGCTTCCCCCAGTTACACTGCAAATGGGGTGACTCCATATGTCCCGAGCAGCTTTTCTGAGCCTTGAGGGACTGGCTCACATTGAAATGCAGGCTTCTGTTGTCACTCGCTGCTTATCTGTTAGTAATGAACCTGCCTATGTAACGTATCCTCTGTGTGTTCTGTCTCCCTGGAGTGACGGTGAGTGATAGGAATTGGCATAGGCCCAGGTGCAGTCCAGGATTTGTTTAGAGTCTTCTCTGGGAAGACTGCACTGGGATTGATACACAGCGAATGTGCTTTAGGATTTCTACATCCACAGCATTCTTGAGTCAAACAAATTGCATTCACCAAGGAAAGGAAACAAAGGTGAAATCACGATTAAAAATAGCGAAGCAAGATTCTCTTATGTCAAACAGCCAGAAAATAGTGTTGAAGCCCGTGTGAAATGTGCTGCTCTTTGTGATCTCGGGAGACACATGTTAGGCTGCTGTTCTACCCGAGAGGCTGGGGGAAGGACCACCCCCTCCACCATCTATTGCTTCAATACCACCTGTCCTCCTGTGAATTAGTAGGAAAGGGGAACAGGAGCTAGTGCTGTCGCTGATCTCTGATTCCAAGATCTGGACTCACTCCAAGGAATATTAATGTTTCCTCCCCATGGTCTATCTGAATCTCCACAGGTGATTGGAAGTAGGGGTGAGGTGGGCGATTTGGGTGAGTGGGCAAGTTTTTTTTTGCGATGACCAGAGCACTTTCTCTATTCCAGGATCCGTGCTGGAGGATTCAGCGGGCTTTCACATTTTCTATGTGATCTCATGCTCACAGAAAGCCAAATAGGGAAGAGGTTTTAGGCTCATTGCCTAATGGATAAGATAAAGGATCAAAGAAGTAATTATAGAGAAATAGAAAAATGATGATTGGAATTCAGGTGCCTTTGTCATTCGTGTGTGTTTTATTATATTTATGCATTTCTTATTTTTATTTTTTGAGACGGAGTCTCCTTGTGTCACCCAGGCTGGAGTGCAGTGATGCAATCTCCACTCACTGCAACCTCCACCTCCTGGGTTGAAGTCATTCTCCTGCTTCATCCTCCAGAGTAGGAGCTGGGATTACAGGGATGCACCACCATGCTCGGCTAATTTTTGTATTTTTAGTACAGATAGGGTTTCACCATGTTGGCCAGGCTGGTCTGGAACTCCTGACTTCATGGAATCCACCCGCCTTGGCCTCCTGCAGGGCTGGGTTACAAGCATGAGCCACCGTTCACAGACTTGTATATTATGCTATAATAGGTCCCTTCATTTCCACCACCCCTCATATATCTGTCACTCCTTTGCCAGGTATTGATTTATGTGTAGGATGAATAAATCTCAGAAAGAAATTAATTAAGCGAGGATTAAACAAGTAGGAAAATCAAACCCAGCAAGCCTTTCCAGCCAATGATTCTACCTCACAAGCATATCTTATATCCATCTACTTCATTCATTTAGTGTCTAAATCAGCACCACATTTCACCAGTGGGGCGGCAATTGCCTTTTCCACAGTCTCCTAGATTCCAGTTACGCACCTGGGCCTCCCTTATTTTCTTGTCAGTCACTATTAATCATGTAGGGATTCCTGGTTACCCCGAGGTGAATCCAATGGCTGTGAGTGTCAAACACACACTCCTTGTTCCTCCTTAGTTTCCTGTGTACCCAGAGTGCTCTCCATCTCTCTACAGTCATCTTGTCATTCTCCCCACCTCATTCCCAGCATTTCAGGCAGAGCCTCTTCCTTCAACATCAGATTGTTTTCACCTTTGTGCCTTCACAGCTGACAGCTGTGTGTGGAAAATCCTTCCGCCAATCTTTCAGGGGTTCAATCCGTGTTTTTCATTAATGTCACAAATATCTGATTAGTGAGACCTTCTCTGTCACCCAAAATTATACACTCAGCATTATCTATTATTTATTTTGAATTCTGGCTGGGCAAAGTGGCTCACGCCTGTAATCCCAGTACTTTGGGTTGCTGAGATGGTCGGATCACTTGAGGTTGGGAGTTTCAGACAAGCTTGGCCAACATGGTGAAACATCCTCTCTACAAAAAATATACAAAAAGAATTAGCCGGGCATGGTGGCAGTTGCCTGTAATCCCAGCTACTCGAGAGGGTGAGGCAGGAGAATCACCTGGATCCAGGAGACGCAGGTTGCAGTGAGCCAAGATCGTGACACTGCACTGTAGCCTGGAAGACAGAGGGAGACTCTGTCTCAATAAACAAACGAACAAAGAAACAAATAGATTTCATGCACAGATGCTTCCCAATGGATCATTCATTTATTGGTCCACTTGTGCATTCATTTTCTGTCCTCCCATTTAACCATCTGCAATATCAGTGTCCCAAGAGCAGAGGCCAAATGCATCTTGTTCACCATTTGTGGAAGGCAGGAGAATGCTGTCCCACCCCAAAATGTCCCTGTCCTAGCCTCCATAGCTTGTGAATATGTTATTTTACATGGAAAGGAGGAATGAAGATTGCAGATGGAATTATGGTTGCTAATCAGCTGAACTTAAAACAAGGGTATCCTGAATGATTTCCGGGAGATTATGACGGATTTTCATCTTGGTGAACCCAATAGAATCCCCAAGTTTTCAAAAGATGAGGAAGAAGGGAGAGCAGCATTCAGAGAAAGAGGTGTGGTAAGGAAGAAGGGTCTGAGTGATGCCATGTGAGATGTGACCAGTCTTTGTGGGTTTTGAGGAAGGAGGAAAGGGACCAGCAGCCAAGGAACTGGGAGCCTTTATAAGATGGGACAAGTGAGAAGCAGATTCTTGCCTGGAATCCTCAGAGGGAAGGCAGGCTTGCTGTCATCTTGATTTTAGCCCAGTGAGATGCACTTCATGCTTTGAGCTAGAGCACTGTAAGATAATTAAATAACCGTTTTGTTTTCACCCACGAATCTTGTGGAAATTTGTTATGGCAACAATAGGAAAAGCTTCCACACTGCACAACCTGAGCATGGGGCCGTGGCTGAATAAGTCAGTGAGTCAAAGTGTGCGTGCATGAGCTCTGTTCTCTGTTACGGCAAGGCTCTTGCTCTGCTGAGTCAGCCAGGGTTGTTTCATGACCAACAGGAGCTCATTCCTTGGCAAGTGGAACTTCTCTAAAACACCTCGCCCTCATCAGATGTTCGCTTCCCTTCCCTCTCTCAAGCCCCCAGGAATTTATCCTCCCGTTAGGAATGCAAGCAGAACAAACATTGCGTTTTTCCTGAGAAGGATGTCAGATTGGCAATCATTCTTCTAGCTTGTAGGAGGTCTCAGCTCCATAAAATGAGAGATGAAGAGATTTCACTGAGCCCTGTGTTGGGCCCAGATCCCTTTCGCTGTTGGAGTATCTGGAGTTCGGAGATGGTAGAAGACAGGCGTACAATGTCAGAGCTGTGAGATGCTGAGTCAACGCCTGAATCCAAGGTTTCCACCTCCCCAGGGTTCCAAAAGCGGATATAAGAGGGTCCTGTACTCACCGGTTTTGGAGCTTGGTTCAGTGGGTGAAGGCCAACTATTTGAAGGGTTTCCTAGAACATGAGACAGGAGAGAGGTGAGGAAATGAGGGTGTCTGTCCTCTACTCAGTGGAAATCTTTGAGTTTGGTTCATGGCCAACACTCTGTTATCTAACATTGGGCCCTGGGAGTCCAGGGATCCTTTCTTCCATAATTTTTGTATGTGACGCCCACTGTCTTGAGACTTCAAGGTATAAAGAGAAAACAGGAGCATCACACTACCTGATCTCAAAATATGTTACAGAGCTGTAGTAAGCAAAACAGCATGATGTTGGCATGAAGAAAGGCACATAGAACAACGGAGCAGAATGAAGAACACAGATATAATCCATGCATTTACATCCAATTTTTTTTATTTTTTCTTTTGAGATGGAGTCTCGCTCTGTCACCCAGGCTGGAGTGCAGAGGTGCAATCTCGGTTCACTGCAACCTCAGCCTCCTGGGTTCAATCAATTCTCTTGCCTCAAACTCCTGAGTAGTAGTATTACAGGTGCTGACCACCATGCTCAGCTAATTTTTATATTTTTAGTGGAGACGATGTTTCATCACGTCGGCCAGAGTAATCTTGTACTCCTGTCCTCAGGTGATCCACCAGCCTTGGCCTCCCAAAGTGCTGAAGTTGCTGGTGTTAGCCACCATGCCCAGCCCATCCAATGGACTTTGACAAAGGTGCCAAGAACTCACAATCAGGAAAGGACAGTTTTTTCAATAAACAGTGCAGGGAAACCTGGACATCTACATGCAGAGGAATGAAACTGCACCTCTACCTGTCACCATACACAAAAATCAAATGAAAGTGGATTAAAGATGTGAGTCTAAGGCCTGAACCTGTGAAACACGTAGAAGAAAATATTGGGGAAATGCTCCAGTACATTTGTCTGAAGGAAGACATTTTGTTTTAAACCTTCAAAACACAAGTAATCGAAGCAAAAATAGACCATTGGGATTACCTCAAACTAAGCAACTTCTGCACCGCTAAAAATAAACCAACAAAGTGAAGAGACAACCCACAGATTGGGAGCAAATATGTGCAAACTATGCATCTGAGACGGGATTAATAACTAGAAGTATAAGAAGCTCAAACAACTCAATAAAACAAATGATTTAATTGAAAAAGGAGCAAAAGACATGAAATTTCCCCACATACGAAAAAGTGCTCAGTATCACTCATCATCAGAGAAACGCGAATTAAAATCAAAGTGAGTTTTCATCTCACCCCATTAAAATGGCTTTTAGGCCGGGCGAGGTGGCTCACGTCTGTCATCCTAGAACTCTGAGAGCCCGAGGTGGGCGAATCTCATAAGGTCGGGAGTTTGAGACCAGTCTGACCCACATGGAGAAACGCTGTCTCTACTAAAAATACAAAAATTAGTCGGGCGTGGTGGCGTGTGCCTGTAATTCCAGCTACTCGGGAGGCTGAGGCAGGAGAATCGCTTGAACCTGGGAGGTGGAGGTTGCGGTGAGCCGAGATCGCACCACTGCACTCCAGCCTGGGTGACAAGAGCGAAACTCCATCTCAAAATAAAATGAAATAAAATAAAATGGCTTTTAGCTGCAAGACAGGCAAAACAAATGCTGGCAAGGTGGTAGAGAAAGGAGAACCCTGGTACCCTGTTGGTAGGAGTGTAAATTAGTACAGCCATTACGGAGAAAAGTATGGAAGTCCTTTAAAGAACTAAAAAGAGGTTGGATGAAGTGGATCATGCCTGTAATCCCGGCACTTTGGGAGACCGAGGCGGGCACCTCAGTTGAGGTCATGAGTTTGAGAGCAGCCTAGCCAACCTGGGGAAACCCCATGTACACTAAAAAAAACCAAAAAGTATCCCGGCATGGTGGCGTGCACCTGTAATCCCAGCTACTAGGGAGGCTGAGGCAGGAAAATCATTTGAACCCAGGAGGCGGAGGTTGCAATGAGCCAAGATCACATCACTTGTACTCCAGCCTGGGCACAGAGGGAAACTGTCTCAAAAACAAAAACAAAACAACAAACGAAAAACTAAAAAGAGAACTTTCATAGTATCCAGCAATTTCACTACTGGGTTTATATCCAAAGGAAAGTAAATCAATGTATCGAAGTGATATCTGCACTCGTATGATTGGTGCAGCACTCTTCACAGTAGCCAAGATGTGGAGTCAACCTACCTGCCCATCAGTGGATGAATGGATAGAGAGAATGTAGTACATACGCACAGCGGAGACTACTCATCCATAGAAAGAATAACATCCTGATATTTGCAGCCACATGGATGGAACTGGAAGTCATTACAAATATTCTCATTTCTCACCCATATACAGGAGCTAAAAGGTGGATCTCATGAAGATAGAGAGTAGAATGGTGGCTACCAGAGGCCAGGAAGAAAAGGGTGGAGGATAAAACAAACAAACAAAAAATTTATATGTATGTATTTATGACCACTAGACCTTACACTTAAAATTGGTAAACGTGGCCGGGCGCGGTGGCTCATGCCTGTAATCCCAGCACTTTGGGAGCCTGAGGCGGGTGGATCACGTGGTCAGGAGTTCCAGAGCAGCTCGACCAACATGGTGAAACCCCCTCTCTACTAAATATACAAAAAGTAGCCCGGCGTGGTGATGGGCGCCTGTAGTACCAGCTACTCAGGTGGCTGAGGCAGGAGAATCGCTTGAACCCAGGAGGCGGAGGTTACAGTGAGCTGAGATTGTGCCACTGCATTCCAGCATAGGAGACAGAGCTAGACTCCACCTCAAAAAAAAAAAAATGTTAAAAGTGGTAAGCTATATAGGTATATTTAACCTCAATGAATATTTTTTCAAACAAAAAGAAAAGGATGTAGGGGTTGCTGGTGATGACATCTCTGTGTGGGTGAGAGGCCAGGAAGGGCTTCTGGGAAATGGGTAAGGTTGAGGGGCTGAGGGAACCTCTGATCTCCCCAAACTGAGCCCAGTCTCCCCTTCTCTGGGTCTCTCCTGACCGCTTTCTACATCTGCCTGGGTTTCTGGAGCCCTAATCGGAGGCCTCCATGCAGGCCATGCAGGAGGGTTTGGAGGTGCTGTGTGTGCCATCCTGCGCCCTGATCCCTCCCTCACAGGCATGCTGCGTCTTCTCTCTGCATCTGTCCATGCTTCTCTCCATCATCAGCAGGAAGCTCCTCAGCTAAGGCTCTAGGATCATAGGACATGGGACAGATATGGGGTTTCCTCACCTGTGACGGAAACAAGCAGTGGATCACTCGAGTTTGACCACTCGTAGGGAGCGTCACGGAAAGAGCCGAAGCATCTGTAGGTCCCTCCGTGGGTGGCAGGGCCCAGAGGAAAGTCGGCCTGGAATGTTCCGTTGATGCTGCGCACTGCAGGGAGCCTACGTTCATGGGCCTCCCCTTCCCTGGATAGATGGTACATGTCATAGGAGCTCCGGGAGCTGCAGGACAAGGTCACATTCTCTCCTGCCTGAACCGTGGGGCCCGGCTGGGCTGAGAGAGAAGGTTTCTCATATAGACCTGGAAGGAGAAGGGGCAGTTTCCTCAGGGGGGATCTTCCTTGTCACAGCTCCCCTCACACCTGACCTGAGAACTCACTCCCCTGCTCTATGGCCTAATGCTCTCTTTCTCTGTCTCACCCTCCACCCTATCTCTCTTCATGTCTATTTCCTCCTTCCACCTTCTCTGTCTCTGTAGGTCTCTGACCTCACTTCCCTACCTCTAGTTATGTTTTCCTTTTTTGGATTGTTTTATTCTCTCTGGCTCTCCTTGGATTGGTTGACTTGATGTTACTTTTTTTAACTCTGAGTTTCTCAGTTTGTGTCCCGTTCATAACTTTCTGCATATTTCTATCTATTATCTATCAATCCATCTATTTATCTATTCGGTGCCTATCTACAAATTCTCTACCTGTCATCTATATCTATATATCATCTATTTATCTATCAATTGTCTATCCGTCAATCATCTATTATCTATATATATGTATCATCTCTCTCTCTCTATTATTTCTCTCTTTGTCTTCCTCTCTATCTCTATGTATTATCTATCCATCTATCTTCATCATCATCATCTCTATGTATCATCTATTAATGAATCAATCAATCATCATCTATGTATCTATAACCTATTATCTATCATCTACCTATATATCATCTATCTATATCTATCCATCATCTATCTGTATCTATCCATCTATCATCTGTCTTGCTCTGCCTCTCGGTCTCTCTAGTTCTCTTTGGAATCTCTGCAATTCATCCCCACATCTCCATCTTTCTATGCCCTTGTGCCTCGCCCTCAGGACTCTAATTTTAGTGGTTTTCTCTGCTCTCTTCCATCATTCTCTCCACTTCTCTGCCCTCTTCTCTCTCTTTATGTGTCTGTGAGTCTCTCAATCTCCTTCCTCTGGCTCTTTCTCTGTGTGTTTATGTCTTTGCTTTTTGGTGTCCCTGATTTCTCTCTGTGCTTCTCAGTGATCCTCTCATATGTGATATGTGGGGTTATTTGGAATGTGAGCCTCAGAATCCAGTCTGGAGACCACAAGTTCACACAGCATACAGGGGTTGGTGTTCTGGGGCCATGATATTTTGGGACGATTATTCTCCATTGCATGGAAGTCAGAGGTGTCAGAATAAGCATGGCATCTGTAGGTGCCACAAGGCCTGAGGCCACAGGGCCCAACTCAGGTCAGAAATATGGGTGTCCTTGGGTTCTCCTGGTAGAGAACACTTTGTGGAGGTAAAACAGAAATGAAACTTCTAACCTGTGCCAGGTCTCTGAGCAAAGTCAGCATGGAAGGACACCTCTGTCTGGGACATGTCTGTCTGTCTCCTTTAACTCTTTCTGTCTTTTCTAACTCCCGGTATGGCCCCTGTGTTTGTCCTCTGTTATGACACCTGGTCTGTACTTGTGTCTCTTGTTTCTCTGTCTCTGTTGGCACAGACCTCACCAAGTCAGTCTCTCTCCATAAGAATACCAAGCTCATCTTCCTTACAACCACCTGGGTCTCCAAGTCCTGGATCATTCACTCTGCATCCCAATGACAATGAGAAGAATGTCTGGACACTCTCACCTATGATCACCATGTCCAGAGGGTCACTGGGAGCTGACAACTGATAGGGGGAGTGAGGAACAGAACCGTAGCATCTGTAGGTTCCTGCAAGGACAGGCATCATGGGACCAATGGAGAAGTTGGCCTTGGAAACCCCATCATGGTGCTCTCCAATGAGGTGCAAAGTGTTGTTAAACTTCCCCTCTCTGTGCAGAAGGAAGTGCTCAAACATGACATCCGACCAACATTGCAGGATGACTGTCTCTTCTGATTTCACCAGGTGACCTGGGAGGGCCAGGAAGGAAGGTTTTCTGTGGACTCCTAGGAAGAGAGGTTGTGAGTTTAGAAGGTGTCTCTCTTTATCATCCCATCCATGGCACCTGGAATGAGTGAGCCTTCCCTTCGCTGGTGTCTGTCTCTCTGCTTCCTCTCTGTGTCTTCATGTTCTTTTCTGTGCCCATAACTCCTGGTGCAGGTCCTTCCATCTGTCTCCCTCCCTCTTCTCTGTCCCTCTGTCTCTAGTAGCTGTGATTCCCTTCCCACTGGGCTCAGCCTCATCTCTTGGGCTGTTGTATCTATTTCACACTAATGTCTTTCTTACTGTCTATGTGGGAGTGGAAGAGGAAGCAGGATAGGCTGCACGTCCCGGCTCTTAGCAGCCTGGTTCAATCTCTTTTGGACGAATTGGAATCCTTGGCAGGAGGTATGAACTGATCAGTAAGGCAGGCACCAGTGTCCACACACCCTGTTCCTGGTGGGGACTGGGAGCCACTCTTGCCATGTCTGTGCCTTCTCCATGGTGCCAGTTTCCATAGGCTGGCTCCTCGTGCTGATTTGAGGAGTATCAACCCCTCCCTATGTGGATGGAGCCTGGTGGTGGCATCATCATCCCACCCTTGCTGATCTCGGTGTAGCCAACCTTCTCTTTGTTTGGTTTCTTTAATTAATTAATTAATTTTGGAGACAGAGTCTCACTCCTTCACCCAGGCTGGAGTGAAGTGGTGTGGTCTACGCTCACTGCAACCTCTGTCTCCTGGGTTCAAGCGATTCTCCTGCTCTCAGCCTCCCGAGTCGCTAGGATTACATGCACCTGCCACCATGCCTGGCTATCCTTGTGTCTTTTCTTAACTTGTCCTTGACCTGGGTTCCAGTGTTGGTTTCCTGTTGCTGCTGTAGAAAATTATCAGAAGCATGGCAGCAGGAGAGAGCACACTGACCCCCTCCGATTCTGGAGACAGAAAGCGGACCCTGTTTTTCGAGGGCTAAAATCAAGGCATCTGCAGGGCTGTGTTCCCTCTGGAGACTCAGGAGAATCAGTTACTTGACTTTCCCAGCCTCTATAGGCCACCTGCATTCATGGCTTATGGCCTTCATCCACCTTCAAAGCTGATGGAGTCTCCCACTACGCTGCTCTAATCCCCACTCTCCTCTTCCTCCTCCTTTCATGTGGACACTTGTGATTATATTGAGCCCACCGGGACAGTCCAGGCTGTCTCCCCATCTCAAGGTCAACTCATCAACAACCTGAGCTCCATCTTCCCCTTCAGTCCCTTCCCCTATAACATAAATAGTCACAGACTCCAGGGATTAGAATGCAGTCATCACTGGGGACACTTATTCTTCCCACCACAGCACCCATTTCCCTGTATTCAATCCCCCTTTACCCCAAATACAGTTAGGGCCTGCGTGATGGGACCCTCAAGGACATGCCTACCAGAAGCTCTGGGATTCAGGAGGTGGGACAAGGAGAATCCCAGACAGGAGCCCTCTGACCTGTGACCATGATCACCAGGGGGTTGCTGGGTGCCGACCACCCACTGGGGGAGTGTGTGTGTGAACCCCGGCATCTATAGGTCCCTGCATGTGACGGGGTCACAGGGCCCATGAAAAGGCTTTTCCAGAATATTCTGTTGTACAGCTCAGGGACAGGCACCCCATCATCCTTGTACAGACTGAAGTTGTTAAACCCAAGATTA
Organism: Homo sapiens; assembly: GCF_000001405.40. Classification (NCBI taxonomy): domain Eukaryota; kingdom Metazoa; phylum Chordata; class Mammalia; order Primates; family Hominidae; genus Homo; species Homo sapiens. The sequence continues at coordinate 33,517 of NT_187685.1, forward strand.
GAGTGACACTGAAGAGTCACATGTTCTGGAGGCACCACAAGGCTGGGCCAGGTAGAAAGCAAGGGCTTGTCCTGACCACCTTGGGGTGAAGGAGGCGCCGCCTTAGAGAGGAGGATGTGGAGCTGTGCCTCCCTCCCTGTGCTCAGAAGATTCTCCCCACTTTCCACATTTCTATGGCTGCTATCACACCTTGGTGCCTAGGGCTAAAGGAAGGACCCATCCCACAAAGACAAGGTGTCTCCGTACAACAAAAGTGTCAGCTGAGAACTTTGAGCAAGTGCTGAGTAAGAGACTCCTACTAGATTTTAATACTGTAAGATTACTGACATAAAACAACACAGGGTAGACATGAAGTGGAGGGCATGTCCTTTGAGAATGGAATATCAGCAGTTGCCTGAATGAAAATAAAAAACTTAGCCCCCATCAGAGGATTTGGAATGTCAGGGCCATGGCTGTGGTTTCCCACCTCTTCTGGTAGAATGACAGCAGCCACACTGCAGCCCCTACCGTCATGGAAACGCTGAAGTGTGTGAGTAACACCTTTGTCCTCAGAGGATCTGCTGTTCCTACCACTTCCCCACCACACAACCCAGCTTTGAACACCCTAGTCCAACCCTGGTCCCCACACAACTTGACTCTGCCAAGGGGTTGAGAGGCCAGGGAGGCAAGGTCGGAACTGTGGGCCGAGCACCCCAGGGTCCCCTCTTCCTAGTTTATGAGAGACTCCCTGACAGGACTTCCCTCCCGTTTCAGGAAAATCCTCTTATGTGGGGAGATGACACCCTAAGGTTTGGAGAAGGACTTACCCTCCTGTGGCCAGGCCCCCTGCAGCAAGAAGAACCCTGGAAAGAAAGATCATGATGGAAGATCCATTTGCAGGCAAACAAGGCCTTCCTTGCTGCCCCCACTGGGCTGTGAGTCTTGATAGCCAGCCCCTTCCTGGGCCGAAGGGAAACTCACCATCAGTGCCTACCTGCACCCAAGAACAGTGCTCTCGGCTGTGCAGAGACCCAGCCTCCAGGCCCATATCCCCACCCCAAGCCCATATCTCCACTCCAGGCCCATATCTCCACTCCAGGCCGATATTTCCACCCTAGACCCATATAGCCAATCCGGGCCCACATCTCCAATCCAGGCTCAGATCTCCACCCTCGGCCCATATCTCCAATCCAGGCCCATATCTCCACTCCAGGCCCATATCTCCACTCCAGTCCCATATCTCCTCTCCAGTCCCATATCTCCACTCCAGGCCCATATCTCCACCCCAGGCCCAGATCTCCACCTCCAGGCCCATAACTACACTCCAGGATCATATCTCCACTCCAAGCCCATATCTCCACATCAGGCCCATATCTCCACTCCAGTCCCATATCTCCACACCCAGGCCCATATCTCCATTCCAGGCCCATATCCCCATCCTAGGCCCATATCTCCACCGTAGGCCCAGATCTCCACTCCAGGCCCATATCTCCACTCCAGGGCCATATCTCCACCTCCAGGCCCATAACTTCACTCCAGGCCCATAACTCCACTCCAGGCCCATATCTCCACCTCCAGGCCCATATCTCCACTGCAGACCCATATCTCCACTCCAGGCCCATATCTCCACTCCAGGCCCAGATCTCCACTCCAGGCCCAGATCTCCACTCCAGGCCCAGATCTCCACCTCCAGGCCCCTATCTCCACTCTAGTCCCATATCTCCACTCCAGTCCCATATCTCCACCTCCAGGCCCATAACTTCACTCCAGGCCCATAACTCCACTGCAGACCCATATCTCCACTCCAGGCCCATATCTCCACTCCAGGACCATATCTCCACTCCAGGCTCATATCTCCACTCCAGGCCCGTATCTCCACCTCCAGGCCCATAACTTCACTCCAGGCCCATAACTCCACTCCGGGCCCATATCTCCACTCCAGTCCCATATCTCCACTCCAGTCCCATATCTCCACCCTAGGCTCCTACCTCCCCTCCAGGTTCCTATCTCTCCTCCAGGTTCCTCTCTCCACTCCAGGTTCCTATCCCCACTCCAGGCCCATATCTCCACTCCAGGCCCAGATCTTCACTCCAGGCCCAGATCTCCACTCCAGGCGCAGATCTCCACTTCTAGGCTCATCACTCCATCTCTAGGCCCAGATCTCCACTCCAGGCCCATAACTCCACCTCCAGGCCCATATCTCCACCTCTGGGCCCAGATCTCCATCCCCACGCTCCCTCCCTCTATTCCCTTCCAGGACTCACCAACACACGCCATGATGATGACCATGAGCGACATGGTGCTGCCGGTGCAGACAGGCGGCCGCGCCCCAGCTCAGCTCAGCAGCGCACAGGATGTTATTTGGCGCCCTGCCCATGCAGTTTACATGTTGACCACATCATGGGAGGGTGACGTACGCAGGCTTTTTCTACCTTGCATGAGGCCCAGTGGGTGCTCGCTCAAGAGCGGAACATGGCTTCCTGGAAATTGCTCTCACTAGAATTGACACCTCGCGTCCTTCACTATGACCAACTCAAAACATGTCTTAGATCCAACCTCCCAAACATGAGATGCCTAAAATCTGTGCTAACATGAAAGACTTTTCATGAATTTTTATTGTTTTTATCTGAGATTCGAACTCTTCTTCCTGTGTAATATGCAAAATATCTAATAGGTATTATTAGTGTTTTCAGAGTCATTGTGACTAATAAACCATTAGAATTGTTCATGCTTGTATTTCTAGTATTACAGCAGAACCAGTTCAAATGATTTAAATTCCCAGGGAAGGATTATGCAATTATTTACAATCTTAGAATTGTACTTTATCAGCAAAAACCACACATGTAAATTCTGGATTTTTGTAGTTTTATCTATAATTTGTCTCATGACTCAAGATTCCAGAGTCCCAACTTTGGAGTTTGCTCTCTCTCTGTCTCTCTGCCTCCCTCATTTTAAATTTTACAGAAATATCCAGTAACATAATGCTATAGAAAATCAAGTTTCCCCCAGCAGGTCGGGAAGCCGAGGTGGGCGGATCAACTGAGATGAGGAGATTGAGAGCAGCCTGGCCAACATAGTGAAACCGTGTCTCTGCTAAAAATCCAAAAATTAGCCGTGCCTGGTGGCAGGCACCTGTAACGCCAGCTACTCAAGAGGCTGAGGCACGAGAATCGCCTGAACCTGGGAGGCGGAAGTTGCAGTGAGCTGAGATTGCTCCACTACAGTCCCGCCTGGGCGACAGAGCAAGACTCCGCCTCAAGAAAAAAAAATAGCAAGTAGCCTATAATAACAAATTAGAGGGCTCTGGCTACTAAATTTAAAGGGTTTTATAAGGCTACATGAAGTGCAGCATCCTCAAGAGTGTGGACACAGAGAGCCCCTTAGCAGAAACAGTGTCTAAAATACATCCGTGTACACACAGTCCCTTTAGAGTTGACAAAGGCTGCCGTGTGGTTTAAGGTGGCATAGAATGTCTTCTTAATAAATAATATTAAACCAAAGGGTTACACGTAGGAAAAAATAAATCTAAACTTATTCTCACACTATAAAAACACTTCTTACTTTTTATCTAGTTATTGTACATTTTTTATGATTTATATTTAAAATTGAGAAATAAAAGTCATATACGGTCATCCTTTACTATTCGTGGGTGATTGGTTTCAGGATCTCCACTCAGGTACCAAAATCTGCAGATGCTCAAGCCTCTTACATAAAATGACACAGCATTTGGATATAACCCATGCACATCCTCCTGTATACATGAAATCATCTCTTGATTACTTATAATTCCTGATACAGCCTACACACTGCCTCATTTGTGTCCATTCAACATAGTTTTGCATTTTGAAACTTTGTGGACATTTTCTCTGAATATTTTTGATTTACACTTGGTTCAATAAACACCTGTAAACCCCACAGATATGGAGGAGCGACTGTATATTTATAGTATGAAATATGATGTGTTGATATGTGTCCCCGTGGAGATGAGACTAGCAAGGCTTATGACTCTACAAATGTTTCATCGTGGAATGACTCTGCCAGCTTTCCAGGTTGCAGAGAGTAAGAATATCACTTGTTCATGTGATTCACGATCCTTGGAACCTCCTATGTGCTGCATCTTTGGATGGAAATTGGAGTCCCAGAGACAAATGAGGCTCCACCCTGCTTCCAGAAGCTCAGAATCCAGGGGTGAGAACCCAGCGGAGAACAGATGGGGTTATGTGGACATGGTAATGATAACAGCGGTTTCTTTCAGCGAATACAGTGTCACATTACCTGAAGCAATGAGGGCAGACATGTTTATTTGAAGAGGAGACAGCTACATTGAAATCACAAAAAATTTTATAAGTTTCACTGCTGACAGAAGGCTGGAAAATAGTCCGAAGAAAGGTGAAACAGCATGAGGGAAGGTGGAACAGCACGTGGGTAAGTGCCACGTCAAGAGGGAGCCTCTTGTATGTTTGGAATTGTGAGTTCCTCAGTGTGATTGCAGCCTCAAGTAGACTAGGAAGTAAGCCAGTTAGGTTGGAGAGGTGGGCAGGGGTCAAGTGAAATGGAGAACTGTGGGCTAAGCAAAGGAGTGTGTTTTCTTTCCAGCAGGCAGTGGGGACCTAGACATTTGTAAGCAAGAGAGAGGCACCAGATTTGTGGCGTGAGGAGGAGCGATGCCCTAAGATGAAGACTCACGCCTTCAGATTCCAGCTGCTGGTACATGGGAGCTGGCAACTCGGTTTTGAGACAGGGCTGTTGTCTCCCTAGAAGATGTCCTCAAGGCCTGACTGTGGTGCTCATGGGCAGGAGACAACTTTGGATCTGGGCTTAGCATTTGGAAGTTCCGTGTACAAGATGGTATCTGTAGGGGGTGTCTTGGGCCTCTGAGAAGGGCGAGTGATTTTTCTCTGTGTGAAAACGCAGTGATCCAACTGTGCGTATGTCACCTCCTCAGGGTCTTGTTCATCAGAGTCCTGGAGAGAGGGAAATGCTGAGTGAGGGAGGGAAATGCTGAGTGAGGGAGGGTGCTCACGTTTTCCAGGACTGTTTGGGAATAACACTAGCCACGAGGCTGGGCCGAGGAGCACCTACCTCGCTGTTGGCTGTTCTGTTCCCTGCAGGCTCTTGGTCCATTACAGCAGCATCTGTAGGAGACGGAAGTCAACAAAAGAGCTCGGAGGGCACTTCTGGGTCCTCATTTCATAAGCAGATACCAACAAACAGGGGGAGGCCATAGGTGCCTGAGGTCCCTCAGTTGCCAACAGCAGACTCAGACATTCTATCTCTCTGAGCTCAAGGACCCATCCCATGAATAGCTCTGAGTTCCCATCCCATTGATTCTGTCTCCCACTTTCTGCCTCTCATGGAACCTTCTCCTGGATGTGAGTGGCTGCAGGGGACATGAGGATACAGTTCAGAATCAGGCAACGGTCTGTGAGCTGAAGGCAGGGGCAGGGAGTCTGGTGCTCTCTCTAGAAAGTCCTGCCTCTGTGGCTCCTGTCTTGGGCCAGGGACCATCCTGCCAGTGAGGAACACAGCTGTGTGCTCCCATCCTGCTTCCCCACATGGCCCTGAGCTCTCTGGCCTGTGCCCCGTGAGACTTACTTTTTTTGTTGGAGCACCAGAGATGAAGGAGAAAGAAGAGGAGGAGGATGAAGAGGATGATGACCACTGAGGTCCCAATCAGAATGTGCAGGTGTCTGGGGTTACCTGGAAGAAGAGGAGACACCAGTAAGAAGCTAATCATAGCAGTTTCTCTATATGAATTGTCTTGCATTTCTTGATTGACAGGTAACCACTTACAGCATCTCTTTCGGACAAGCACCCAGATGGCGGGAGATCTAGCTTCCTCCTGCTTTCTCAGTTATAGCTCTCATAGTAACCATGGAACGTGCTGAGGATACAACTACTTTAGTTGAGATGTTTGACCCCTTCAAACCTCACATTGAAATTTAACCCCCAGTGTGGGAGGTTGGGCCTCTTGGGAGGTGTTTGGGTCATGGAGGTGGATCCATCATGAACAGATCAATGCTGTCCCAAGGAGACGGGGTTAGCAAGTTCCCTCTCTATTAGTTCCTGGAGAGCTGGTTGTTAAAAAGAGCTTGGAAGCTCCATTGCTCCCCCTCCCCCTTGCTCCCTCTCTTGCCGTGTGATCTCTGTGGTCTCTGCACAGACAGACCCTCCTTCCCTTCTGCCAGAGTGGGAGCGGCCTGAGGCCATCATAAGAAATAGATGCTGGTGCCATGCTTCCAGTACAGCCTGCAGAATGGTGAGGCAAACCAATCTCTTCTTTAGAAGTTACCCAGGCTCAAGTGTTCCTTTAGAGCAACAAAAATGGACTAAGACAGCAAAGTCCTGAGATCAGGAGGATCGTCCCAGAACAGCCTGGGCTGTCTTCCTGTTCTTCCTGGAGGAGGACGTCATGCAGTGCTTTAGCTGAGTGCTTCCTGTGGCTCCAGGGTACAAAACCCAGGCTGGGCTGCTTTCTGGCTTCCCCCAGCTACACTGCAAATGGGGTGACTCCACATGTCTCGAGCAGCTTTTCTGAGCCTTGGGGAACTGGCTCACATTGAAATGTAGGCTTCTGTTGTCACTCGCTGCTTATCTGTTAGTAATGAACCTGCCTATGTAACGTATTCTCTGTGTGTTCTGTCTCCCTGGAGTGACGGTGAGTGATAGGAATTGGCATAGGCCCAGGTGCAGTCCAGGAGGTGTTTAGAGTCTTCTCTGGGAAGACTGGACTGGGATTGATACACAGCGAATGTGCTTTAGGATTTCTACATCCACGGCATTCTTGAGTTAAACAACTTGCATTCTCCAAGAAAAGGAAACAAAAGTGAAATCAATATAAAAAAAGCGAAGTAGAATTCTCTTATGTCAAACAGCCAGAAAATAGTGTTGAAGCCCGTGTGAAATGTGCTACTCTTTGTGATCTCGGGAGACACATGTTAGGCTGCTGTTCTACCTCAGAGGCTGGGGGAAGGACCACCCCCTCGACTATCTATTGCTTCAATACCACCTGTCCTCCTGTGAATTAGTAGGAAAGGGGAGCAGGAGCTAGTGCTGGCACTGATCTCTGATTCCAAGATCTGGACTCACTCCAAGGAGTATTAGCATTTACCTCCCCATGATCTATCTGTATCTCCACAGGTGATTGGAAGTAGGGGTGAGATGGGGGATTTGGGTGAGGGGGCAAGTTTTTTTTGTGATGACCAGAGCACTTTCTCTATTCCAGGATTTGTGCTGGAGGATTCAGCGGGCTTTCACATTTTCTATATGATCTCATGCTCACAGAAAGCCAAATACGGAAGAGGTTTTAGGCTGATTGCCTAATGGATAAGATAAAGGATCAAAGAAGTAATTATAGAGAAATAGAAAAATGATGATGGGAATTCAGGTGCCTTTGTCATTCGTGTGTGTTTTATTATATTTATGCATTTCTTATTTTTATTTTTTGAGATGGAGTCTCCTTGTGTCACCCAGGCTGGAGTGCAGTGATGCGATCTCCACTCACTGCAACCTCCACCTCCTGGGTTGAAGTCATTCTCCTGCTTCATCCTCCAGAGCAGGAGCTGGGATTACAGGGATGCACCACCATGCTCGGCTAATTTTTGTATTTTTAGGAGAGATAGGGTTTCACCATGTAGAGATAGGGTTTCTCCATGTTGGCCAGGCTGGTCTCGAACTCCTGACTTCTTGGAATCCACTGGCCTTAGCCTCCTGCAGTGCTGGGTTACAGGAGTGAGCCACCGTTCACAGACTTGTATACTATGCTATAATAGGTCCCTTCATTTCCACCACCCCTCATATATCTGTCACTCCTTTGGCAGGTATTGATTTATGTGTAGGAGGAATAAATCTCAGAAAGAAATTAATTTAGCAAGGATTAAACAACTAGGAAACTCAAACCCAGCAAGCCCTCCCTGCAAATGATTCTACCTCCCAAACATAGCTTATATCCATCTGCTTCATCCACTTAGGGTCTAAATCAGCACCACATTTCACCAGTGGGGCGGCAATTGCCTTTTCCACTGTCTCCTAGATTCCAGTTACGCACCTGGGCCTCCCTTATTTTCATGTCAGTCACTATTAATCATGTAGGGATTCCTGGCTACCCCGAGGTGAATCCAATGGCTGTGAGTGTCAAACACACACTCCTTGTTGCTCCTTAGTTTCCTGTGTACCCAGTGTGCTCTCCGTCTCTCCACAGTCGTCTTGTCATTCTCCCCACCTCATTCCCAGCATTTCAGGCAGAGCCTCTTCCTTCCACATCAGATTGTTTTCAGCTTTCTGCCTTCACGGCTGACAGCTGTGTGTGGAAAATCCTTCCGCCAATCTTTCAGGGGTTCAATCCGTGTTTTTCATTAATGTCACAAATATCTGATTAGTGAGACCTTCTCTGTCACCCAAAATTATACACTCAGCATTATCTATTATTTATTTTGAATTCTGGCTGGGCAAAGTGGCTCACGCCTGTAATCCCAGTACTTTGGGTTGCTGAGATGGTCGGATCACTTGAGGTTGGGAGTTTCAGACAAGCTTGGCCAACATGGTGAAACATCCTCTCTACAAAAAATATACAAAAAGAATTAGCCGGGCATGGTGGCAGTTGCCTGTAATCCCAGCTACTCGAGAGGGTGAGGCAGGAGAATCACTTGGATCCAGGAGACGCAGGTTGCAGTGAGCCAAGATCGTGACACTGCACTGTAGCCTGGAAGACAGAGGGAGACTCTGTCTCAATAAATAAATGAACGAACAAACAAATAGATTTCATGCACAGATGCTTCCCAATGGATCATTCATTTATTGGTCCACTTGTGCATTCATTTTCTGTCCTCCCATTTAACCATCTGCAATATCAGTGTCCCAAGAGCAGAGGCCAAATGCATCTTGTTCACCGTTCGTGGAAGGCAGGAGAATGCTGTCCCACCCCAAAATGTCCCTGTCCTAGCCTCCATAGCTTGTGAATATCTTATTTTACATGGAAAGAAGGAATGAAGATTGCAGATGGAATTACGGTTGCTAGTCAGCTGAACTTAAAACAAGGGTATCCTGAATGATTTCCGGGAGATTATGATGGATTTTCATCTTGGTGAACCCAATAGAATCCCCAAGTTTTCAAAAGATAAGGAAGAAGGGAGAGCAGCATTCAGAGAAAGAGGTGTGGTAAGGAAGAAGGGTCTGAGTGATGCCATGTGAGATGTGACCAGTCTTTGTGGGCTTTGAGGAAGGAGGAAGGGGACCAGGAGCCAAGGAACTGGGAGCCTTTAGAAGCTGGGACAAGTGAGAAGCAGATTCTTGCCTGGAATCCTCAGAGGGAAGGCAGCCTTGCTGTCACCTTGATTTTAGCCCAGTAAGATGCACTTCCTACTTTGAGCTACAGCACTGTAAGATAATTAAAAAACCGTTTTGTTTTCACCCACGAATCTTGTGGAAATTTGTTATGGCAACAATAGGAAAGGATTCCAACTGCACAGCCTGAGCATGGGGCCGTGGCTGAATGAGTCAGTGAGTCGAAGTGTGCGTGCATGAGCTCTGTTCTCTGTTACGGCAAGGCTCTTGCTCTGCTGAGTCAGCCAGGGTTGCTTCATGACCAACAGTAATTCATTCCTTGGCAAGTGGAACTTCTCTAAAACACCTCGCCCTCATCAGATGTTCCCTTCCCTTCCCTCTCTCAAGTCCCCAGGAATTTATCCTCCAGTTAGGAATGCAGGAAGAAAAAACACTGCATGTTTCCTGAGAAGGATGTCAGATTGGCAATCATTCTTCTAGCTTGTAGGAGGTCTCACCTGCAGGACATTAAAGGTTAAGAGACTTCGCTGAGCCCTTTGGTGGCCCTAGATCCCTTTCACTGTTGGAGTGTCTGGAGTTCAGAGATGGTGGAAGACAGGCCCTCATTCACAGAGCTGGGAGGTTTGAGCCAACACTTGCATCCAAGGCTTCCACCTCCCCAGGTTTCCAAAAGCAGAGATAAGAGGGGTCCTTTACTCACCAGATTTGGAGCTTGGTTCTGTGGGTGAAGGCCAACTACTTGAAGGGTTTCCTAGAACATGGGACAGGAGAGATGTGAGGAAATGAGGGTGCTTGTCCTCTACTCAATGGAAATCTTTGAGGTTGGTTCATGGCCAACACTCTGTTATCTAATGTTGGACCCTGGGAGTCTTGGGATCCTCTTCTCCATAATTTTTGTGTGCGATGCCCACTGTCTTGAGACTTGAAGGTATAAAGAGAAAACAGGAGCATCACACTACCTGACTTAGAAATATGTTACAGAGCTGTAGTAAGCAAAACAGCATGACATTGGCATAAAGAAAGGCACATAAAAAATGAAACAGAATGGAGAACACAGATATAATCCATGCATTTACATCCAATGGCTTTTTTTGTGTGTGTGTGTGTTAGAATCTTGCTCTGTCATGCAGGCTGGAGTGCAGAGGTGCAATCTCAGCTCAATGCAACCTCCACTTCCTGGATTCAAGCAATTCTCTTGCCTCAAACACCCGAGTAGTGGTATTACAGGCACTGGTCACCATGCTCAGCTAATTTTTGTATTTTTAGTAGAGACGAGGTTTCACTCTGTTGGCCAGCCTGATCTTGAACTCCTGGCTTCAGGTGATCCACCCGCCTCGGCCTCCCAAAGTGCTGGAATTGCAGGTGTGAGCCACCATACCCAGCCCATTTAATGGACTTTGACAAAGGTGCCGAGAACTTACAATCAGGAAAGGACAGTCTTTTCAATAAATGGTGTGGGGAAAACTGGATATCTACATGCAGAGGAATAAAACTGCATCTATACCTGTCACCATACACAAAAATCAAATGAAAATGGATTAAAAACATGAGTCTAAGGCCTGAACCTATGAAACATGTAGAAGAAAATAATGGGGAAGACATTTGTCTGACGAAAGACATTTTGTTTAAAACCTTCAAAACACAAGTAATCAAAGCAAAAAATAGACCATTAGGATTACATCAAACCAAGCAACTTCTGCACCACAAAAGATAAACCAAGAAAGTGAAGAGACAACCGACAAAATAGGAGCAAATATTTGCAAACTATTCATCTGAGACGGGATTAATAACTGGAAATATAAGAAGCTCAAACAACTCAATAAAACAATTTAATTAAAAAACGAGCAAAAGACATGAGGAGACATTTCTCCACAAACAAAACATAGAAATGGCGATCACGTATATGAAAAAGTACTCGGCATCACTCATCATCAGAGAAATGTAAATTACAATCGCGATGAGTTTTCATCTCATCCCATTAAAATGCCTTTTAGGCCGGTGGCTCACGCCTGTAATTCCGGCACTTCAGGAGGCGGAGGTGGGCGGATCACCTGAGGTCGGGAGACCAGCCTGACCATCATGGAGAAACTCCCTCTCTACTAAACATACAAAAATTAGCTAGGCGTGGTGGCACATGCCTGTAATCCCAGCTACTTTGGAGGCTGAGGCAGGAGAATCAGTTGAACGCGGGAGGCGGAGGTTGCAGTGAGCTGAGATCACACCCTTGCACTCCAGCCTGGGAGACTATGAGTGAAACTCCATCTCAACATAAATAAATAAATAAAATAAAGTAAAGTAAAATGGCTTTTACTGCAAGACAGGCAAAACAAATGCTGGCAAGATGGTAGAGAAAGGAGAACCCTGGTACCCTGTTGGTAGGAATGTAAATTAGTACAACTATTATGGAGAAAAGTATGGAAATTCTTTAAAAAACTAAAAGGAGGCTGGGCATAGTGGCTTATGCCTGTAACTTCAGCACTTTGGGAAACCGAGGCAGGCACCTCACTTGAGGTCAGGAGTTTGAGAGCAGCCTGCCCAAAATTGGGATATCCCGTCTGTGCTAAAAAAATACAAAAATTAGCCAGGCATGGTGGCGTGCACCTGTAATCACAGCTACTAGGGAGGCTGAGTCAGGACAATCATTTGAACCTAGGAGGCACAGGTTGCAATGAGCCAAGATCTCACCACTTAGACTCCAGCTTGGACTAAGGAGGGAAACTCTTTCTCAAAAAAGAAAAAAAAAAAAAGAGAACTTTCATAGTGTCCAGCAATTTCACTACTGGGTTTATATCCAAAGGAAAGGACATCAGTGTATCGAAGTGATATCTGCACTCATATGACTGTTCCAGCACTGTTCACAGTAGCCAAGATGTGGAGTCAACCTACCTGCCCATCAGTGGGTGAATGGATAGAGAACTGTGGTACACACACACAGTGGAGACTACTCATCCATAGAAACAATAACATCCTGTCATTTGCAGCCACATGGATGGAACTGGAGGTCATTACAAAGATTCCCATTTCTCACCCACATGCAGGAGATAAAAGGTGGATCTCATGAAGGTGGAGAATACAATGGTGGACACCAGAGGCCAGGAAGGGAAGGGTGGAGGGTAACAAAAAAAAGAATATAGATGTATTTATTTATTTAGAAACAGAGTCTCTCTCTGTCTCCCAGGCTGCAGTGCAGTGGCATGATCTCGGCTCAGTGCAACCTCTGCCTCCTGGGTTTAAGTGCTTCTCCTGCCTCAGCCTCCCAAGTAGCTAGGACTACAGGTGCATGCCAGCATGCTCGGCTAATTTTTCTTGTCTGTTTAGTAAAGATGAATTTCCCACATGTTGGCCAGGGTGATCTCGAGTTCCTGATCTTAAATGATCCACCTTCCTTGGCCTCTCAAAGCGCCGAGATTACAACCGTGAACCACCACACCCAGCATATAAAGGTATTTATGACCACTAGATTTTACTTTTAAAAATGGTAAAGGTGGTAAATTATATAGTTACATTTAACCTCAATAAATATTTTTGAAAATGAAAAGAAAAGGGTGTAGGGGTTGCTGGTGATGATATCTCTCTGTGTGGGTGAGAGGCCATGATGGGCTTCTGGGAAATGGATAAGATTGAGGGGCTGAGGGAACCTCTGATCTCCCCAAACTAAGCCCAGTCTCCCCTTCTCTGGGTCTGTCCTGACCGCTTTCTCCATCTGCCTGGGTGCCTGGAGCCCTGATCGGAGGCCTCCATGCAGGCCATGAAGGAGGGTTTGGAGGTGCCCTGTCTGCCATCCTGCGCCCTGACTCCGCCCTCACACCTGCTGTGTCTTCTCTCTGCATCTGTCCATGCTTTTCTCCATCATCAGCAGGAAGCTCCTTAGCTAAGGATTTAGGATCATAGGACATGAGAGAGATATGGGCTTTTCTCACCTGTGACAGAAACAAGCAGTGGGTCACTCGGGTCTGACCACTCGTAGGGAGAGTGACGGAAAGAGCCGAAGCATCTGTAGGTCCCTCCGTGGGTGGCAGGGCCCAGAGGGAAATCTGCCTGGAATGTTCTGTTGACCTTGCGCACTGCAGGGAGCCTACGTTCATGGGCTCCCCCCTCCCTGGATAGATGGTACATGTCATAGGAGCTCCGGGAGCTACAGGACAAGGTCACGCTCTCTCCTGCCTGAACCTTGGGGCCCGGCTGGGCTGAGAGAGAAGGTTTCTCATATGGACCTGGAAGGAGAAGAGGCAGTTTCCTCAGGGAGGTTCTTCCTTGTCATAGCTCCCCTCATACCTGAGCTGAGAACTCACTCCCCTGCTCTATGACCTAATGCTCTCTCTCTCTCTCTCACCCTCCACCCCATCTCTCTTCATATCTGTTTCCTCCTTCTACCTTTTCTGTCTCTCTAGGTCTATGACCTCACTTCCCCACCCTGAGGTATGTTTTCCCTTTTTGGATTGTTTTATTCTCTCTGACCCTCCTTGGATTGGTTGACTTGATCTTCCTTTTTCTTTAATTTTGAGTCTCTCACTTTCTGTCTTGTTCATAACTTTCTGCACATTTCTATCTATTTATCTATTTTGTGTCTATCTACAAATTATCTATCATCTATATTTATGTATCACTTATCTATCTCTCTATCAATTGTCTATCTGTCTATCTATCCATCAATCATCTATTATCTATATATGTATCATCTATCTCTCTCTCTATTACCTCTCTGTCTGCCTCTCTGTCTCTATTTATGTATCATCTATGTATATATCTATGTGTCTATCATCATCATCGTCATCTCTATGTATCATCTATCAGTCATCATCTATGTATCTATAACCAATCCATTATCTATCATCTACCTATTTATCATCTATCTACGTCTATCTATCCATCTATCATCTCTCTCTCTCCGTCTCCTTGTCTTTCTCTGCCTCTCAGTCTCTCTAGTTCTATTTGGAATCTCTGCAATCCATCCCCACATATTTATCTTTCTCTGTCTTTGTGTCCCTCCCTCAGGGTTCTGATTTTGGGGCTTTTCTCTCCTCCTTTCCATCATTCTCTCCATTCTGCCCTCTTTTCTTTCTTTTTATGTGTCTGTGAATCTCTTAATCTCCTTCTTCTGGCTCATTTTGTGTGTGTTTATGTCTTTGTTTTTTGGTGTCCCTGATTTTTCTCTGTGTCTCTCAGCGATCCTATCATATGTGGGATTATTTGGAATATGAGCCTCAGAATCCAGTCTGGGGACCCCAAGTTCACACAGCATACAGGGGTTGGTGTTCAGGGGCCATGATATCCTGGGATGATTACTCTCCATTGCATGGAAGGCAGAGGTGTCAGAATAAACACGGCATCTGTAGGTGGCACAAGGCCTGAGGCCACAGGGCCCAACTCAGGTCAGAAATATGGGTGTCCTTGGGTTCTTCTGGTAGGAACACTTTGTGGAGGTAAAACAGAAATGAAACTTCTAACCTGTGCCAGGTCTCTGAGCAAAGTCAGCATGGAAGGACACCTCTCTCTGGGACATGTCTGTCTGTCTGAGTGTCTCCTTTACCTCTTTCTCTCTTTTCTACCTCCCTGTATGGCCCCTGTGTCTGTCCTCTGTTATGACACCTGTTCTGTACTTATGTCTCCTGTTTCTCTGTCTCTGTTGGTACAGACCTCACCAAGTCACTCTCTTTCCATAAGAATCCCACACTTATCTTCCTCATGACCACCTGGGGGTTCCAAGTCCTGGATCATTCACTCTGTGTCCCAGTGACAATGAGAACAATGTCTAGACACTCTCACCTGTGACCACGATGTCCAGGGGATCACTGGGAGCTGACAACTGATAGGGGGTGTGAGTAACAGAACCGTAGCATCTGTAGGTCCCTGCAAGGGCAAGCATCATGGGACCGATGGAGAAATTGGCCTTGGAGACCCCATCATGGATCTGTCCAACGAGGCGTGAGGGGTCCTTAGAGATCCCCTCTTTGTGCAGAAAGAAGTGCTCAAACATGATATCTGACCAACATTGCAGGATGACTCTCTCTCCTGATTTCACCAGGGGACCTGGGTGGGCCAGGAGGGAAGGTTTTCTGTGGTTTCCTAGAAAGAGAAGTTGTGAGTTTAGAAGGCATCTCTCTTTATCATCCCATCCATGGCACCTGGAATGAGTGAGGGTTCCCCTCCCCGTGTCTGTCTCTCTCCTCCCTCTCTGCATCTCCGTGTCTTTTCTGTGCCCATATCCCCTGGTGCAGGTGCCTCCATCTGTCTTCCTCCCTCTTCTCTGTCCCTCTGTCTCCAGTAGCCCCTGACTCCCTTGCCACTGTGAAGACAGCCTCATCTCTTGGGCTGTTGTATCTGTTTCCCACTAATCTCTTTCCTGCTGTCTATGTGGGGGTGGAAGAGGACAGGCTGCATGTCCAGGCTCTTAGCAGCCTGAATCAATCTCTTTTGAACAAATCCCCAGTTCAAGTGATTCTCTTGCCTCAGCCTCCCCAGTCGTTGGATTACTCGCGCCCACCACCACATCTGGCTATCCTTGTTTGGTTTCCTAACTTGTCCTTGACCTGGGTTCCTGTGTTGGTTTCCTGTTGCTGCTGCAGAAAATTACCACAAACATGGCAGCGGGAGAGAACACACTGACCCCTTCCACTTCTGGAGACAGAAATTGGATCCAGTTCTCCCTGTGCTGAAATCAAGGTGTCTACAGGGCTGCGTTCCCTCTGGAGAATCAGCGAATCAGTTCTCTTGACTTCTCCAGCCCTTAGAGGCCACCTGCATTCTGTGACTAGTGGTCTTCCTCCACCTTCAAAGCCCGCAGTGGCTGATAGCGTCTCCCTCCCACTACACTGCTCTAATCCCCACTCCCCTCTTCCTCCACCTCTCATGTGGACCCTTGTGATTACACTGAGCCCAGTGGGACAGTCCAGGCTGTCTCCCCATCTCAAGGTCAACTCATCAACAACCTGAGCTCCACCTTCCCCTTCAGTCCCCTGCCCTGTAACATAAATAGTCACAGGCTCCAGGGATTACAATGTAGCCATCATTGGGGACAGTGATTCTTCCCACCACAGCACCCATTTCCCCTGTATTCAATCTCCCTTGACCCCAAATACAGTCAGGGCCTGGGTGATGGGACCCTGACGGACACCCCCACCAGAAGCTCTGGGATTCAGGAGGTGGGACAGTGAGAAGCCCAGACGGAAAGCCTCTGACCTGTGACCATGATCACCACGGGGTTGCTGGGTGCCGACCACCCAGTGGGGGAGTGTGGGTGTGAACCCCGACATGTGTAGTTCCCTGCATGTGCTGTGGTCACAGGGCTCATGTTGAAGCTCTCCTGGAATAATCTGCCATGGAAGATGGGAACGTGGATTCTGTCTTCTTTGTATAGCATGAAATTGTTAAACCTATGACGATAGTGACACCGAAGAGTCACGTGTCCTCCTCGAGGCACCACAGCGCTGGGCCAGGCAGACAGGAAGGGCTTGTCCTGACCACCTGGGGGAGAAGGAGGCACTGCCTTAGAGAGGAGGATGTGGAGCCGCCCCTCACTCCCAGTGCCCAGAAGATTCTCCCCATTTCCACTTTCTAAGGCTCCTACCACACCTGGGTGCCCAGGGCTACAGGAAGGACCCATCCTGCATAGACATGGCGTCTCCCTACAACAAGTGTCAGCTGAGAACTTTGAGCAAGTGCTGGAGAAGCAACTCTTACTAGATTTTAATACTGCAAAATTACTCATATAAAACAACACAAAGTAGACACGGCATGGAGGGCAAGTCCTATGTGAATGGAATATCAGCCAATTGATGAACTGAGCCCCCATCAGAGGATTTGGAATGTCAGGGCCATGGCTGTGGTTTCCTCACCTTTTCTGGTAGAAAGACCACAGCCACACTGCAGCCCCTACCATCACGGAAACGCTGGAGGGTGTGAGTTACACCTTTGTCCTCAGAGGACCTGCTGTTCCTAGCACTGCTTCCCTCTCTTTCTCTGCTGCTGACACCACTTCCTCCCTGCACACCCATCTTGGAGCACCCTAGTCTCACCCCAGTCTTCACAGAGCTTGACTCAGGAAAGGGAAAGAAAGGCCGGGGAGGGCAAGGTCAGAAATGTGGGCCGAGCATCCGAGGGTCCCCTCTTCCTAGTTTATGAGAGACTCCCCGACAGGACTTCCCTCCCATTTCAGGAAAATCCTCTTATGTGGGGAGATGACACCCTAAGGTTTGGGGAAGGACTCACCCACGTGTGGACCGGCCCTCTGGACCAAGAAGAACCCTAGAAAGAAAGATCATGATGGACCATCCATCTGCAGGCAAACCAGGGCACCCTGCTGCCCCCACTGGGCTGTGCGTCTTGGCAGCCAGGCCCTTGCTGGGCTGAAGGTAAACTCACCCTCGCTGCCTACCTGCCCCCAGGAACAAGGATCTCGGCTGTGCAGAGACTCAGCCTCCAGGCCCAGATCTCTACCTCCAGGCCTAGATCTACACAACAGGCCCAGATCTCCACTCCAGGTCCGTATCTCCACTCCAGACCCATATCTCCTCTCCAGGCTGATAAGTCCACTCCAGGCCCATATCTCCACTCCAGGCTCCTATCTCAACTCCAGGCTCATATATCCACTCCAGGCTCATATCTCCACTCCAGGCCCATATTTCCACTCCAGGCTTCTATCTCCTCTCCAGGCCCATATCTCCTTTCCAGGCTTGTATGTCTGCTCCAGGCCCGTATCTCCACCCCAGGCCCATATCTCCACTCCAGGATCATATCTCCACTCCAGGCCCAGATCTCCACTTCATGCCCTTAACTCCACCTCCGGGCCCATAACTCCACCTCTAGGCCCATATCTCCACTCCAGGCCCATATCTCCACTTCAGGCCCATATCTCTACTGCAGGCCCATAACTCCACCTCCAGGCCCATATCTCCACTCCAGGCCCATCGCTCCACTTCTAGGCCCATCACTCCACCTCTAGGCCCACATCTCCCCTCCAGGCCCATCCATATCTCCCCTCCAGGCCCATATCTCCACCCCAGGCACATATCTCCACCCCAGGCCCATATCTCCACTCCAGGCCCAGATCTCCACTCCAGGCACATATCTCCACCCCAGGCCCCTATCTCCACTCCAGGCCCAGATCTCCACTCCAGGCCCAGATCTCCACTTCAGGCCCATAACTCCACCTCCAGGCCCATAACTCCACCTCTAGGCCCATATCTTTACCTCCAGGTCCAGATCTCCATCCCCGCACTCCCTCCCTCGATTCCCTTCCAGGACTCACCAACACACGCCATGCTGACGACCATGAGCAACATGGTGCTGCCGGTGCAGACAGGCGGCCGCGCCCCAGCTCAGCTCAGCAGCGCACAGGATGTTATTTGGCGCCCTGCCCATGCAGTTTACATGTTGACCACATCATGGGAGGGTGACGTACGCAGGCTCTTTCTACCTTGCATGAGGCCCAGTGGGTGCTCGCTCAAGAGCGGAACATGGCTTCCTGGAAATTGCTCTCACTAGAATTGACACCTCGCGTCCTTCACTATGACCAACTCAAAACACGTCTTAGATCCAACCTCCCGAACACGAGATGCCTAAAATCTGTGCTAACATGAAAGACTTTTCATGTATTTTTATTGCTTTTATCTGAGATTCAAACTCTTCTTCCTGTGTAATATGCAAAATATCTAATAGGTATTATTAAGGTTTTCAGAGCAATTGTGACTAATAAACCATTAGAATTTTTCATGATTGTATTTCTAGTATTACAGCAGAACCAGTTCAAATGATTTAAACTCCCAGGGAAGGATTATGCAATTATTTACAATCTTAGAATTGTACTTTATCAGCAAAAATCACAACATGTAAATTCTGGATTTTTGTAGATTTATCTAGAATTTGTCTCATGTCCCAAGATTCCAGAGTTCCAACTCATGGTTTGCTCTCTCTCTGTCTCTCTGCCTCCCTCATTTTAAATTTTACAGAAATATCCAGTAACATAATGCTATAGAAAATCAATTTCCCCAGCACTTTGGAAGCCGAAGTGAGTGATCAACCGAGGTCAGGAGTTTGAGACCAGCCTGGCCAATATAGTGAAACCATGTCTCTGCTAAAAATACAAAAATTAGCCATGCCTGGTAGCAGGCACTTGTAATGCCAGCTATTCAAGAGGCTGAGGCACGGAATCCCTTGAACCTGGGAGGCGGAAGTTGCAGTGAGCCGAGATCGTGCCACTGCACTCCAGCCTGGGCAACAGAGCGAGACTCTGCCTCAAGAAAAATAAAAAAAGCATAGCAAATAGCCTATAATAAATAACTAGAGGACTCCAGCTACCAAATTTTAGGGGTTGTATAAGGCTGCATAAAATGCAGCATTCTCAAGAGAGTGGACAGAGAGAGAGCCACTGAGCAGAAAACAGTGTCTAAAATACATCCGTGTACACACAGTCCCTTTATAGTTGACAAAGGCTGCCATGTGGTTTAAGGTGGAATAGAATGTCTTCTCAATAAATAACATGGGCCCAAGGGTTACACATGGAGAAAAATATATCTAAAAGTATTCTCACACTATAAAACACTTGTTTATTTTATCTTGTTATTGTAATTTTTTTATGTTTTATATTTAAAATTGAGAAATAAAAATTATATACAGTCATCCCTCACTATTCGTGGGTGATTGGTTTCAGGATCTCCACTCAGATAGCACAATCTGCAGATGCTCAAGCCTCTTACATGAAATGGCACAGCATTTGCAAATAACCCATGCACATCCTCCTGTGTACATGAAATCATCCCTTGATTATTTATAATTCCTGATACAGCCTACACACAGCTTCATTTGTGTCCATTCAACATAGTTTTGCTTTTTGAAACTTTGTGGATTTTTTCTCTGAATATTTTTGATTTATATTTGGTTCAATAAACACCTGTAAATCCCACAGATACAGAGGACCGACTGTATATTTATAGTATGAAAGATGATGTGTTGATATGTGTCCCCGTGGAGATGAGACTGACAAGGCCTATGACTCTACAAATGTTTCATCATGGAATGACTCTGCCAGCTTTCCAGGTCTGCAGAGAGTAAGAATATCACTTGTTCATGTGATTCACGATCCTTGGAACCTCTTATGTGCTGCATCTTTGGATGGAAATTGGAGTCTCAGAGACAAATCAGGCTCCACCCTGCTTCCAGAAGCTCAGAGTCCAGGGGTGAGAACCCAGTGGAGAACAGTTGGAGTTATTTGGACATGGTAATGATAACACTGGAAACTTTCAGCCAAAAAAAGAGTCACCTAAAGAATGAAGGCAGACATGTTTATTTGAAGAGGAGAGAACTACACTGAAATCAAAAAAATTTTATAAGGTTTGCTGATGCCAGAAGGCTGAAAAATAGTCTGAGGAAAGGTGGAACAGCACGAGGGAAGGTGGAACAGCACGTGTCTAAGTGCCGTGTTAAGAGAGAGCCTCTTGTATGTTTGGAATTGTGAGTTCCTCAGTGTGATTGCAGCCTCAAGTAGACTAGGAAGTAAGCCAGTTAGGTTGGAGAGGTGGGCAGGGGTCAAGTGAAATAGAGAATTGTGGGCTAAGCAAAGGAGTGTGTTTTCTCTGCAGCAGGCAGTGGGGACCTTAGACATTGGTAAGCAAGAGACAGGCACCAGATTTGTGGTGTGAGGAAGAGTGATGCTCTAAGATGGAGACTCACGCCTTCAGATTCCAGCTGCTGGTACATTAGAGCTGGCAAGCTGGGTTTGAGACAGGGCTGTTGTCTCCCTAGAAGATCCCATCAAGGCCTGACTGTGGTGCTCATGGGCAGGAGACAACGCTCTGGGCTCAGCATTTGGAAGTTCTATACACACGCTGGTATCTGTTGAGGGTCTCTTGCTCCTCTGAGAAGGGCCAGTGATTTTTCTCTGTGTGAAAATGCAGTGATCCAACTGTGCGTATGTCACCTCCTGAGGGTCTTGTTCATCAGAGTCCTGGAGAGAGGGAAATCCTGAGTGAGGGAGGGTGTTCACATTTTTCAGGACTATTAGGGAATAAGACTGTATCCATGAGGCTGGGCTAGGAGGACCTACCTCCCTGTTCACTGTTCTGTGTCCCGCAGGCTCTTGGTTCATTACAGCAGCATCTGTAGGAGACGGAAGCAATCAAAACAGCTGGGAGGGCACTTCTGGGTCCTCATTTCATGAACAGATACCAACACACAGGGGGAGGCCATAGGTGCCTGAGGTCCCTCAGCTGCCAACAGCCAGACTCAGACATTCCATCTCTCTGAGTGCAAGACCCCATTCCATGAATAGCTGTCAGTTCCCATCCCATTGATTCTATCTCCCACTTTCTGCCTGTCATGGAATCTTCTCCTGGATGTGAGTGGCTGCAGGGGACGTGAGGATACAGTTCACAATCAGGCAATGGTCTGTGAGCTGAAGGCAGGGGCAGGGTGTCTGGTGCTCTCTCTAGAAAGCTCTGCCTCTGGCTCCTGCCTTGGGCCAGAGACTTTCCTGCCAGTGAGGAACACACACCTGCGTGCTCCCATCCTGCTTCCGCACAGGGCCCTGAGTTCTCTGGCCTCTGCTTCGTGAGGCTTACTTTTTTTTTTGGAGCACCAGCGATGAAGGAGAAAGAAGGGAAGGATGGTGAAGAGGATGATGGCCACTGAGTACCTAATCACAGCATGCAGGTGTCTGGCGATACCTGGAGGAAGATGAGAATCCAATAAGAAGCTAACCATAGCAGTTCCTCTTTGTGGATTGTCTCTCATTTCTTGGTTGCCAGGCAACCACATAAAACACCTCTTTAGGACAAGCACCCACGAGGCGGGAGACCCAGCTTTCTCCTGCTTTCTCCGTTATAGTTTTCATAATAACAATAGAATGTGCTGATGATACAACTGCTATTGTTTCAATGTTTGACCCCTCCAAACCCCACTTTGAAATTTAATCCCCAGTGTGGGAGGTTGTGCCTATTGGGAGGGGTGTTTTGGTCATGGGGGTGGATCCATCATGAATAGATTAATGCTGTCCCCAGAGGACGGGTTTAGCAAGTTCTCCCTCTATTAGTACCCTGGAGAGTTGATTCTTAAAAAGAGCTTGGAAGCTCCATCACACCCCCTTTCTCCCTCTCTTGCCATGTGATCTCTGTGGTCTCTGCACACGCAGGACCCCCTTCTCTTCTGTCAGTGTGGGAGCAGCCTGAGGCCGCAGCCAGAAATAGATGGTAGTGTCCTGCTTCTAGTACAGCGTGCCGATCAGTGAGCCAAACACATCTCTTTTCTTTAGAAGATACCCAGGCTCAAGTGTTCTTTTATAGCAACAAAAATAGGCTAAGACAGCAACATCCTGAGATCAGGAGGAACGTCTCAGAACAGCCTGGGCTGTCTTCCTGTTCTTCCTGGAGGAGAACATCATGCAGTGCTTTAGCTGAGTGTTCCCTGTGGCTCCAGGGTACAAAACCCAGGCTGGGCTGCTTTCTGGCTTCCCCCAGCTACAGTGCACATGAAGTGACTCCATGTGTCCTGAGCAGTTTTTCTGAGCCTTGAGGGACTGGCTCACCCTGAAAGGAAGGTTTCTGTTGTCACTCGCTGCTTATCTATAAGTAATGAACCTGCCTATGTAATGTATTCCCTGTGTGTTCTGTCTACCTGGAGTGATGGTGAGTGATAGAAATTGGCACAGGCCCAGGTGCAGTATGGGAGGTGTTTAGAGTCTTCTCTGGGAAGACTGGACTGGGATTGATACACAGTGAATGTGCTTTACAGTTTCTACATCCACAACCCTCTTGACTCAAACAAATTACATTCTCCAAGAAAAGGAAAAAACAGTGACATTGAAATCAACATAAGTGAGGTTGAGCTGTCTTATATCAAACAGCCAGGAAATAATGATGAAGCTCGTGGGCAACATGCTACTTTTGTCATCTTGGGAGTCAGATATTAGGCTGCTGTTCCACCCGAGAGTCTGGGGGAAAGACCACCCCCTCCATCATCTGTTGCTTCAATACAGCCTGTCTTTCTGTGAATTACTCCAAAAGGTGACCAGGAGATAGTGCTGGCACTGGTCTCTGAGTCTACGATCTGAACTCCAAAGAATATTAGTTTTTACCTCCCCATGATCTATCTGTATCATTAATGTGATTGGAAGTAGGGGTGAGGTGGGGGATTTGGGTGAAGGGGCAAGTTTTGTGCCATGAACAGATCACGTTCTCTATTCCAGGACCTGTGCTGGTGGGTTTCACATTTTCCATATGATCTCATGCTCACAGAAAGCCAAATAAGGAAGATGTTTTCGCCTGATTTTCTTATGGATAGGATAAAGGATCAAAGAAGTCATTATAGAGAAATAGAAAAATGATGATTGGAATTGGTGTGCCTTTGTCATTCGTGTATGTTATATTATATTTATGTATTCTTTATTTTTATTTTTTGCCATGGAGTCTCACTCTGTCACCTAGGGTGCAATGCAATGACGCGATCTTGGCTCACTGTAACCTCTCCCTCCCTGGTTGAAGCCATTCTCCTTCTTCAACTTCCTGAATAGCTGGTATTACAGGCACGCGCCACCACCCCCAGCTAGTTTTTGTATATTTAGTAGAGATGGGGTTTCACCATGTTGTCCAGGCTGATCTCGAACTCCTGATCTCACTTGATCCAGCCTCCTCAGCCTCCCAAAATGTTGGGTTACAGGTGTGAGCCACCGTTCAGAACCTTGTGTGTTATATTATAATAGGTCTCTTCCTTTGCACCACCCCTCATGTATCTCTCACTCCTCTGCCAAGTATTGATTTACATGTAGGAAAAATAAATCTCAGAAAGAAATCAATGAAGTGAAGATTAAACAATTAGGAAAAATCAAACCAGGCAAGCCCTCCCTGCAAATTACTCTACCTCACAAACACATCTTGTGTCCATCTTTCATTCATTTAGTGTCTAAATCAGCACCACATTTCACCAGGGGGGCGGGAATTGCCTTTTCCACAGTCTCCTAGATTCCAGTTATGCACCTGGGCCTCCCTTATTTTCATGTCAGTCACTATTCATCATGTAGGGATTCCCAGTTAGCCCCGAGGTAAGTCCAATGGCTGTGAGTATCAAACACACGCTCCTTGTTCCTCCTTAGTTTCCTGTGTACCCAGAGTGCTCTCTGTCTCTCCACAGTCGTCTTGTCATTCTCCCCATGTCATTCCCAGCATTTCAGGCAGAGCCTCTTCCTTCCACATAACATTGTTTTCACCTTTGTGCCTTCACGGCTGACAGCTGTGTGGAAAATCCTTCCGCCAATCTTCCAGGGGTTGATCTATTTTTTTCATTAAGGTCACAAGTATTATTTGATCAGTGAGAACTTCTCTGTCACCCGAAATTATACACTCAGCATTATCTATTATTTCTTTTAAAATACGGCTCGGCGCCTTGGCTCACGCCTCTAATCTCAGCACTTTGGGAGGCTGAGACGGGCGGATCCCTTAAGGTTGGGAGTTTGAGATAGCCTGGGCAACATGGTAAAACCTTGTCTGTACTAAAAAAAAATACCAAAAAAAAATTAGCCAGGCGTGGTGGGACATGGGTGTAATCCCAGCCTCTCGGGAAGCTGAGTGTAGAGAATCGCTTTAACCTGGGAGGTGGAGGTTGCGGTGAGCCGAGATCCCGCCACTGCACTCCAGCCTGGGGCACAGAGGGAGACACCGTCTCATAAAAACAACCAATCAATCAATCATTCTCATGCACAGATGCTTCCCAATGGATCATTCATTTATTGGTCCACTGGTGTATTCATTTTCTGCCCTCCCATTTAATCCTTTGCAATATCAGTGTCCAAGAGCAGAGGCCAAATGCACCTTGTTTACCATTTGTGGAAAGGATAAGAATGCCGCCCCACCCCAAAATGTTCCTGTCCTAGTCGCCATATCTTGTGAATATGTTATTTTACATGGAAAAAAGGAATGCAGATTGCAGATGGAATTACGGTTGCTAATCAGCTAACCTTAAAAGGAGGGTATCCTAGATGATTTTAGGGAAATTATGATGGATTATCTTGGTGTTTCCAATAGAATGCCAAAGTCCTTAAAAGATGAGGAAGAAGGCAGAGCAGCATTCAGAGAAAGAGGTGTGGACAAGGAAGAAGGGTCTGAGTGATGCCGTGTGAGAGGCGTGACCAGCCTTTGTGGACTTTGAGGGAGGAAGACGGGGACCAGGAGCCAAGGAATGTGGGAGCCTCTAGGAGCTGGGAAAAGTGAGGAAGCAGATTCTTGCCTGGAACATTCAGAGGGAAGGCAGCCTTGCTGTCACCTTGATTTTAGCCCAGTGAGATGATGCATTTCATACTTCTGAGCTACAGCACCATGAGATATTTTTTAAAAATGTGGTTTCCATCCACGAAGCTTGTGGAAATTTGTTATGGCAACATAGGAAAAAGTTCCACACTGCACAGTCTGAGCATGGGGCAGTGGCTGAACGAGTAAGTGGAAGTGTCATGTGCACGGATGAACTACGTTCTCTCTTACCGCAAAGCTCTTGTTCCACTAAGTCAACCAGGGTTGGATCATGACAGACAGGAGCTCATTCCTTGGCAAGTAGAACTTCTCTACAAACACACCACCCTCAAAAATGTTCCCCTTCCTTCCCCTTCTCAAGCCCCCAGGCATTTGTCCTCCCAGTTAGGAATGCAGGCAGAACAAACACAGCATTTTTCCTGAGAAGAATGTCTGATTTGCACTCATCCTTCTACCCTGAGGTCTCAGCAGCAGAAAATTAGAGATTAAGAGATTTCACTGAGCCCTGTGCTGGGCCCAGATCCCTTTCGCTGTTGGAGTGTCTGGGGTTCAGAGACAATGGAAGACAGGCCCACAATCACAGAGCTGGCAGGTGCTGAGCCAACGCTTGAATCCAAGGCTTCTACCTCCCCAGGTTTCCAAAAGCAGAGATAAGAGGGGTCCTTCACTTACCAGTTTTGAAGCTTGGTTCAGTGGGTGAAGGCCAACTACTAGAAGGGTTTCCTAGAACATGGGACAGGAGAGAGGTGTGGCAATGAGGATGCCTGTCTTTTCTACTCAATGGAAATCTTTGAGGTTGGTTCATGGCCAACCTTCTATTATCTAATGTTGGGCCCTGGGAGTCCTGGCATCCCATTCTCCATAATCATTGTAGGTGACACCAACTATCTTGAGACTTCAAGGTA
This sequence comes from Homo sapiens, assembly GCF_000001405.40. Taxonomy (NCBI): domain Eukaryota; kingdom Metazoa; phylum Chordata; class Mammalia; order Primates; family Hominidae; genus Homo; species Homo sapiens. The sequence goes on from NT_187685.1 coordinate 59,912, forward strand.
TAAGGAGAAAACAGGAGCATCACACTACCTGACTTAAAAATATGTTACAGAGCTGTAGTAAGCAAAACAACATGACATTGGCATAAAGAAAAGCACATAAAACAATGAAGCAGAATGAAGAACACGGATGTAATCCACCCATTTACATCCAATGGACTTTGACAAAGGTTCGAAGAATCTACAATCTGGAAAGGACAGTCATTTCAATAAATGGTGCAGGGAAAACTGGATATCTACATGCAGAGGGATGAAACTGCACCTCTACCTCTCACCATACACAAAAATCAGATGAAAATGGATTAATGACTTAAGACCTGAATCCATTAAATGTCTAAAAGGAAACACTGGAGAAATGCTCCAGGACATTTGTCTGAGGGAAGACATTTTGTTTAAAACCTCAAAAACACAAGTAATCACAACAACAACAAAAAAAATAGACCATTGGGATTATATCAAATCAAGCAGCTTCTGCACCGCAAAGGAAGCAACCAATGAAGTGAAGAAGAGAAAACCCACAGAATGGGAGCAAATATTTGCAAACTATGCATCTGAGATGGGATTAATAACTAGAATATAAAAGAAGCTCAAACACCTCAATAAAACTAATAATTTAATTATAAAATTAGTAAAAGACCTGAACAGACATTTCTCAATGAACAAAACATACAAATGAACATATATACATTGCATATATGAAAAAGTGCTCAGTATCACTAATCATCAGAGAAATGCAAATGAAGTCACAATGAGCTATCATCTCACCCCATTACAATGGGTTTTATCTCAGAGACAGACAAAACAAATGTTGGCAAGGTGGTGGAGAAAGGAGAACCCTGATACACTGTTGATAGGAATGTAAATTAATACAGCCATTACAGAGGAGAAGAATATGGAAGTTCCTTAAAAACTGAAAAGAGATTAGGCACTGTGGCTCACGCTTGTAATCCCAGCACCTTGGGAGGCTGAAGTGGGCAGATCACTGGAGGTCAAGAGTTCGAGACCAGCCTGGCTAACATGGTGAAACCCCGTCTCTACTAAAAATACAAAAATCAGCCAGGCTTGGTGGCGGGCACCAGTAATCCCAACTACTCGGGAGGCTGAGGCTGGAGAATCACTTGAATCCTGGAGGTAGAGGTTGCAGTGAGCCCAGGTGGTGCCATTGCACTCCAGCTTGGGCAACAAGAGTGAAACGCTATGTCAAAAAAACAAAAAGCATAAAACAAAACCTAAAAAGAGAACATCCAGAGGATCTAGCAATTCCACTAGTGGGTGTAAATGCAAAGAAAAGGACTTCAGTGTATTGAAGTGACATCTGCACTCCCATGACTGTTCCAGCACTGTTCACAGTAGCCAAGATGTGGAGTCAACCTACCTGCCCATCAGTGGATGAATGGATAGAGAGAATGTAGTACATACACACAATGGAGACAACTCATCCATAGAAAGAGTAACGTCCTGTCATTTGCAGCCACATGGATGGACTAGAGGTCATTACAAGGATTGCCATTTCTTACTCACATGCAGGATGTAAAAGGTGGACCTCATGAAGGTAGAGAGTAGAATGGTGGATACCAGAGGTTAGGAAGGAAGGGGTGGAGGGTAACAAAAGAAGAATATAAAAGTATTTATTTATTTATTTATTTAGAGACAGAGTCTCTCTGTGTCACCAGGCTGCAGTGCAGTGGCATGATCTCAGCTCACTGCAACCTCCTCCTCCTGGGTTTAAGCCACTCTCCCGCCTCAGCCTCCCAAGTTGCTGGGATTATAGGCGCCTGGCACCATGCCTGGCTAATTTTATTTTTTTTGTCTTTTTAGTAAAGATTGGTTCCCCCATGTTGGCCAGGCTGGTCTCCAGCCCCTGATTTTAAATGATCCACCTGCCTTGGCGTCTCAAAATGCTGAGATTACAGGCGTGAGCCACCGCACAGAGCATATAAAGGTATTTATGATCCCTAGATTTTACACTTAAAAATGGTAAAGTTGATAAATTATATAGGTATATTTAACCTCAATCAGCATTTTTTCAAAGGAAAAGAAAAAGTGTAGGGGTTGCTGGTGATGACATCTCTGTGTAGGTGAGAGGCCAGGGTGGGCTTCTGGGAAATGGGTAAGGTTGAGGGGCTGAGGGAACCTCTGATCTCCCCAAACTGAGCCCAGTCTCCCTCCTCTGGGTCTGTCCTGACCACTTTCTCCATCTGCCTGGGTACCCGGAGCCCTTACTGCAAGCTTCCATGCAGGCCATGCAGGAGGGTTTGGAGGTGCCCTGTCTGCCATCCTGTGCCCTGATCCCGCCCTCACACCATGCTGCATCTTCTCTCCACATCTGTCCATGCTTCTCTCCATCATCAGCAGGAAGCTCCTCAGCTAAGGCTCTAGGACCATAGGACATGGGACAGACATTGGCTTTCCTCACCTGTGACAGAAACAGGCAGTGGGTCACTCGCGTCTGACCACTCGTAGGGAGATCCATGGAAAGAGCCGAAGCATCTGTAGGTCTCTCCGTGGGTGGCAGGACCCAGAGGGAAGTCGGCCTGGAATGTTCCATTGATGCTGGGCACTGCAGGGAGCCTAAGTTCATGGGCTTCCCCCTCCCTGGATAGATGGTAGATGTCAAAGGAGCTCTGGGAGCTGCAGGACAAGGTCACGTTCTCTCCTGTGCGAACCGTGGGGCCCGGCCGGGCTGTAAGCGAAGGTTTCTCATATAGACCTGGAAGGAGAAGAGGCAGTTTCCTCAGGGAGGTTCTTCCTTGTCACAGCTCCCCTCCCACCTGAGCTGAGAACTCACTGCCCTGCTCTATGGCCTAGTGCTCTCTCTCTCTCTCTCACCCTCCACCCCCAACTCTTCCTGTCGATCCCTCCCTATGTGGTTCCAGCCTGGTGGTGGCATCAGCAGTGCACCCTTGCTGATCTCAGGGTAGCCAACCTTCTTGTTTGGTTTTTTAACTTGTCCTTCACCTGGGTTCCTGTGTTGGTTTCCTGTTGTTGCTGGAGAAAATTATCACAAACATGGCGACAGGAGAGAACACACTGACCCCTTCCACTTCTGGAGACAGAAATCAGACCCTGTTCTTCCTGGGCTACAATCAAGGCATCTGCAGGGCTGCATTCCCTCTGGAGACTCGGGAGAATCAGTTCCATTGATTTCTCCAGCCCCTTCGTGGCTCGTGGTCTTCCTCCACCTTCAAAGCCCACAGTGGCTGGTGGAGTATCCCACGATGCTGCTCTAATCCCCATTCTCCTCTTCCTTCTCCACTCATATGGACCCTTGTGATTACACTGAGCCCAGTGGGAGAGTCCAGGCCATCTCCCCATCTCAAGGTCAACTCATCAACAACCTGAGCTCCATCTTCCCCTTCAGTCCCCTGCCCTATAACATAGTCACAGGCTCCAAGGATTACAATGTGGCCATCGATGGGGACAGTTATTCTTTCCAACACAGCACCCATTCCCCTGTATTCAATCCCCCTTTACCCCAAATATAGTTGGGGCCTGGATGATCGGACTCTGGTGGACACCCCCACCAGAAGCTCTGGGACTCAGGAGGTGGGACAAGGAGAAGCCCAGACAGGAGCCCTCTGACCTGTGACCATGATCACCAGGGGGTTGCTGGGTGCCGACCACTCAGTGGGGGAGTGCGGGTGAAAACCTCGACATCTGTAGGTCCCTGCGTGTGCTGGGGTCACAGGGCTAATGAGGAAACTGTTCCAGAATATTCTGTTGTAGAGCTCAGGGACAGGGACCCCATCTTTCTTGTACAGCGTGAAGATGTTAAACCCACGACGATAGTGACACCGAAGAGTCACGTGTCCTCCTTGAGGCACCACAGCGCTGGGCCAGGCAGAGCAGAAGGGCTTGTCCTGACCACCTTGGGGAGAAGGAGATGCCGCCTCAGAGAGGAGTATGTTGAGCTGCCCCTCCCTCCCTGTGCTCAGAAGATTCTCCCCATTTCTTCTTTCTAAGGCTCCTACCACACCTGGGTGCCTGGGGCTACAGGAAGGACCCATCCCGCATAGACGTGGCGTCTCCCTACAACAAAAGTGTCAGTTGAGAACTGAGCAGGTGCTGAGTAAGGGACTCTTACTAGATTTTAATACTGCAAGATTAGTTACACCAAACAACACAAAGTAGACATGGGGTGGAGGGTATGACCTTTGTGAATGGAATATTAGCTAATGCCTGAACCACAATAAACAACTGAGCTCCATCAGAGGATTTGGAATGGCAGGGTCGTGGCTGTGGTTCCCCCACCTCTTCTGGCAGAATGACAGCAGCCACACTGCAGCCCCTACCGTCATGGAAACGCTGGAGGGTGTGAGTTACCCTCTTGTCCTCAGAGGACCTGCTGTTCCTAACACTGCTACCCTTCCCTCCTCTGTCGGTGACACCACATCCCCCCACACACCCCAGCTTTGAGCACCTCAGTATCCCGCCTGGGCCACACAGAGCTCAACTCAGCCATGGGGAAGAAAGGCTGGGGAGGGCTAAGACAAAACAGAGGGCTGAGCATACCAGGATCTCCTCTTACTAGTTCATGAGAGACTCCCAGGATCTCCTCTTACTAGTTCATGAGAGACTCCCAGGATCTCCTCTTACTAGTTCATGAGAGACTCCCAGGATCTCCTCTTACTAGTTCATGAGAGACTCCCCCCAGGCCTTCCCATGGTCAGCCCATCAGCCCACCCTCTGTGCTGCCTCCCTCCCATTTCCGGAAAATTCACTTGTATTGGGGTGAAGATGGCAACCCATCATTTGGGGAAGGACTCACCCACGTGTGCCCACACACTCTGGTCCAAGAAGAACCCTGCAAAGAAAGATCATGATGAACTATTCATCTCGGCACCAACCTACCCTTTCCTCCTGAGCCACTGGGCGCCACGCTGGACTGAAAATTAACTCATCCTCACCACTCACTTGCTTCAGAACATGGCTCTCTGCTGGGGAGACACCCAATCTGCAGGCCCATAGTGTAACCCTGGTGCTCCTTCCCTTCCAGGACTCACCAAGACATGCCAGGATGATGACCGTGGGTGACATGGACATGGTGCAGCTTCTGCTGCCAGGACGCAGTGACTCGGCTCGACTGACCGGTGCAGAGGATGTGGTGAGGGGCCCGGATCGTGCAGTTGACACATTGACCACAACATGTGAAGGGGACATAGGTAGGCTTCTTCTACGTCATATGAGGTTCAAGTGGTGAGTCAGTCAAGGGAGGAATGAGGGTTTCTGAAAACTGCAGACTAGACTTGTCAGTTCACATCATGCGCAATGACCAGGCTCAAAACACATCTCAGACTCACTTACCCCTGCACGGGACGATTGAATTCTGCACTCACATGAGGAACTTTTGATGTATTTTTTTTTGTTTCTACCTGAGATTCAAACTCTCCTTGATATGTAATATGCAAAATACCTAATAGGTTTTATTAACACTATAGAGCAATCGTATTAAATAAATCATCATAATTTTCCATGGTTGTATTTTTCCTGTTAAGCCAGAAACAGATAAAATGATTTAAATCCCAGTAGAAAAGACTATATAGTTATTTCGCATCATAGAATTCCACCTTATTAGCAAAAACACAATATGTCAATTGAAGGTCTGGTCGTGTTATCTAGAATTTGTCTTATGACACAAGAGTCCAAATTCACAGTTCCCTGTCTCCCTTTTTGTCTCTCTGTAACGTGTGCTTTTTTTCTCCCTGTGTTGTTTGTGTGTCTTTCTTTCTCTCTCTCATTTGAGGAAAAAATATCAGACTGATAACATCCTCCAACTTGATACTGGAATATTGCAATAACTGAAGGTTGAAATCTACACATTTAATGTGCTGTCATTCTTACAAATGTCTCTTATTTACACCTACCTTTCTGGAGTTTGTAAGAACTTTTTCACTATGCATTTTAAATTTGTAAAACTCATAATTTTTAAAAAGGGATGGGTCTCACTGTTTGCCCAGGGTGGCCTTTACTCATTCTATAAGGCTGGCATCACCCTGATACTAAAGACAGAAAAGAATATTAAACAAAAGAAAACTACATGCCAATATTCCTGATGAGCATAGATGCAAAAATCCACAAAAAATACTAAGAACTGAATCCCGCAGCATATCAAAAAGTGAATCCACCATGATCAAGTCAACTTTATTCTTAGGGTGCAAGGTTGGTTGAACATACACAATCAATACATGTGATTCATCACCTAAACAAAACTAAAAACAAAAACCACATGATCTTCTCAACACACATGTAGAACATACTTTTTACTAAGCATTTCTTCATGTTAAAAGCCCTCAACAAGCTAAGCATTGAAGAAACATAACTCAATATAATAAGAGCCGCCTATGACAAACCCACAACCAACATCATACTGAATGAGTAAAAGCTGGAAGAAGTTCCCTTCATAAGTGAAACAAGACAAGAATGCCCACTCTCACCATCCTATTCAACATAGTACTTGAAGTCCTAGACAGAGCCATCAGGAAAGAGAAAGAATTATAAGGCATCCAAGTAAGAAGAGAGTAGCAGAGAGAGGTAGTCAAATTACCTCTGTTTGAAGATGAGATAATTTCTATACCTAGAAACCCCATAGTCTCTGCCCAAAGGCTCCTACATCTGAGAAACAAACTTCAGCACAGTTTAAGGGCAGAAAGTCAATGTACAGGCTGGGTGTGGTGTCTCAGCCTGAAATCTAGCACTTTGGGAGGGCGAAGCGGGTGGATCACCTGAGGTCTGGAGTTCGAGACCAGCCTGGCCAACATGGCGAAACCCTGTCTCTACTAGAAACACAAATATAGCCGGACGGGGTGGTACGCAACTGTAGTCCCAGCTGCTTGGGAGGCTGAGTCAGGAGAACCGCTTGAACCTGGGAGGCAGAGGTTGCAGTGAGCGGAGATCACGCCATTGCACCTCAGCTTGGGCAACAACAGTGAAACTGCGTCTCAAAAAAAAAGCCAAAACAAATTTAATTAATGAGGAAAAGGGTATTTGTGGTGTCCATCATGATGTTTTCATATAGGTACACATTGTGGAATGGATGAAACAACCTCTTTATCTATTTATTTTTTCACATACTTGTATGTTTTGTGTGTGTGGTGAGAACATGTAAAATCTAATCTCTTAGTAATGTTCAATACACCATATGTTGCTATTAAATGGAGTCACCAAGACATACAATAGATCTCTTGAACCGATTTCTTCTAACTGAAATTTTGCATCCTTTGACCAACATCTCTTCAATCTCTCTCCTTCCCAGGTTCTTTCGACGACCATTTTACTGTTCCTCTAGGTTCCACTTCTTACACTCCACACATGAGATCATGTGGCATTTGTCTTTCTGTGCCTGGATTGTTTCCCTTAACATAATGTCCTCTAAGTTTTTTCACATTGTCACAAATGAGAGGACTTCCTTCTTTGTTGTAAAGGTTGTATAGTACTTCATTACGTTCCTATCGTATACCACGTTTTCTTTGTCCATGCACCCATAGATGGGCAGTAAGGGTGATTCCACATCTTGGCTGTTATGAATAATGCGGCTGTAAACATGGGAATGCAGATATCTCTTCAACATACTGATTCCACTTCCTTTGGATACATGCGCAGTAGTTGGATTGCAGACACATATGGGAATTCTATGTTTAATTTTTTCAGGAACTTCCAGACTGTTTTCCATAATGGTTGTGCTAATTTACATTCCCATCAACTGCATACAAATGTTCCCTTTTCTCCACATCCTCGTTAACCCTTGTTATTTTTTATGTTTTTGATAATGGTCTTTTTTTTTTTTTTTTTTGAGACTCAGTCTTGCTCTGTCACCCAGGCTGGAGTGCAGTGGCACAATCTCGGTGTACTGCAACCTCTGCCTCCTGGGTTCAAGCGATTCCCCTGCCTCAGTCTCCAGAGTAGCTGGGACTACAAGTGTGCGCCACCAAACTCTGCTAATTTTTGTATTTTTAGTAGGGATGGGATTTCACCATATTGGCCAGGCTGGTTTCGAACTGCTGACCTCAGGTAATCTCCCTGCCTCGGCCTCCCAAAGTGCCTGAATTACAGGCATGAGCCACCATGCCCAGACTGTTAATGGTCATTCTAAGAGGTGTGAGGTGATATCTCATTCTAGTTTTAATTTTTATTTAGCTGATGTTTAGTAATGCTAATCATTTTTTCATATACCTTTTGGTGATTTGTCTTATTCTTAGAAATGTTTATTCAGATACTTTGCCCATTTTTTTAAGTTGGGTTATTTGATTTCTTACCATTGAGTTGTTTGAGTTTCTTATATATTTTGGATATTAATTCCTTATTAGATGTATGGGTGCAAATATATTCTCCCATTCCATAGGTTGTCTTTCCACTTGTTGAGTTTTTTTTTTTCTTTGCAGAAACTTTCAATTTGATATAATGTTATTTGTCTACTTTTGCTTTTGTTGCCTGGGCCTTTGGGTTAATATCCAAAATGGTTTTGCCCAAGCCAGTGGAGTTTTCCCTTGATTTCTTTTAGTAGTTTTTTTTTTTTTTAAGATGGAGTCTCACTCTGTTGCCCCGGCTGGAGTGCAGTGATGCGATCTCGGCTCACTGCAACCTCTACCTCCTGGGTTCAAGTGATTCTCCTGTCTCAACCTCCCGAGTAGCTGAGATTACAGGCACCCACAACCACACCCAGCTGTTTTTGTATTTTTAGTAGAGGCGGGATTTCACCATGTTGGCCATGCTGGTCTTGGAATCCTGACCTTAGGTGATCTGCCCGCCTTGGCCTCCCAAATTGCTGGGATGATAGTCTTTCATCTTACATTTAAGTCATTAATCTATCTTGAGTTGACTTTGTATGTTTTGTGAGGCAAATGTCCACTTCCATTCTTCTGCATGTCTCCCAATCCCATTTATTAAAGAGACTGTTCCTTCTCCATTGTGTGTTCTTGATACATCCCAAAAATTGTTTGACCCTAAATGCGTGCATTTTTTTTCCTGGGCTATGAATCACTTCCATTGGTCTATGTGTCTGTTTTTATGCAAGTACTGTGTTGTTTTAATTACTGTAACTTTGTAATGTAGTTTGTGTTTAGGTAATGTGATGCTTCCAACTTTGTTCCTTTCCCTCTAGATGGCTTTGGTTATTTGAGATCTTTTGTGGTTCCACATGAATTTTAGGACTGTTTTTTCTATTTCTGTAAAAAAAAATGTCATTGGATTTTTGATAATGGTTGCATTGAATCACTTTGGATAGAATGGACATTTTAACAACATTAATCCTTCTGATCCGTGAACATGGAATATCTTTCGATTTATTTGTTTATTTCTTGAGTTTTTTCATCAATGTTTTATAGCTTTTGCATACAGATCTTTCTACTCCTTGGGTGAATTTATTCCTGCATGTTTTGTTTTCTGTAGTTATTGCAAATGGGCTTATTTTCTTGTAAACTTTTTTGGATAGTTTGTTGTTAATGTATAGAAACTTTGTTGTTGTTGTTGTTGTTGTTGTTTTGATGATACCCATCCTAAGGGGTATGAAATGGCATCTGGTGTAGTTTTAGTTAGTATTTCCCTAATGATTCGTGATGCTGAATATCTTGTCATGCGTATGTTCTTTGGAGAAATGTCTGTTTCAGTACTTTGCCCATTTTTGAATTGAGTTTATTGTGATTGAGTTTTAGGAGTTGTCTGTATATTCTGGATGTTAATCCCTTACAGGTGGTGTGGTTTGAAAACATTTTCTCCCATTCTGTGGGTTGTCTTTTTACTTTGATAATATCGTCTTAAAAGTTCTTTTTCCTTGCCATGTGAAGTAACTGATGTTGTCTTTTGAGTCACAATATTTCAAAATTTTCATAAAGTCTAACTTGTTTATTTTTTCTGTAGTAGCCTGTGCCGTTGTTGTCACATCTAAAGAATCACTGCCAAATCCGATGTTGTGAAGTTTTCCTTTGTGTTTTCTTCTAAGACTTTAATTAAATTTTATTTGTCAATATTTAGGACTGACAAAAGCTTTTTAACATTCCTGGCACCATCTCAGTTATTGATCTACTCCCAAGATGGATCATTTCAATTAAAACATGTAAAGCATGACCTCACCTGAATGTGTTTGAACTTGCTCTTCTCCCTTTCAAATCGACTCCCTCACTTACATAGTTTGTGTTCAAATGTCAACAAATAAAACATAAAAAGAAATCAATCTTTTCATAGACCCTTTATCTAAAATAGAATAGTAGGTGCCATGACATTTCATCCTTTCATCTTGAATTATTTACTTTTCTACATGAACCAATCCATTCTTCTGTGTGCATGTGTGTGTGTGTGTGTGTGTAGTTTATCTGTCTACATATAATGTAAACACCAAAAAATAACAGACATTTAGTAATTTTCAAATGAGACTTCAGGAATTAACAATGGCTTGCCATTTTTAGTGTGTTATTATTATTATATTTAGATGAACAGAATTGCCTCAGGAACATGGCCAGGGGCTCATAGTCCAGGAGAACTGTGGCCTGACTCAGGTACATTTTACCTGCAATAACAGCAATTGCAGGTCACTGGAGTCCATCACAATTGGCTGGAGACAAATGTAAGACAAGAATATTTGCAGTTTCCCCAGACTGACACAGTTGCAGGTTCCCCGAAGTAATGAGTCCTGAGACACCTCCAACAAGAGCTAGAAAAGGTATCACTTCAAGAGGAGTTGCAGCCTACTCATTTTAGACAAATGGAGCAAAATTACAGTATCACATCTTTTCCTTTCTCCTTCATAGAATCTGGATGAACAGAACAGAAAGAGTTAATGGAATATAAGATTCCAATTCTCTGGCATGAGAAAATAGACAAGGAAAGGAAGATTCATCTTCATCACATCTCAGACATGCTTGGACACAGGGTCCAAGCACAAAAGAGAAACACATACTTCTTCCCATCCACACTGGGATCCAGGGTCTTCTCCCTCCTGTCAGGCCAGAACTGAGTCTCCACTCCCCAATTTAGTTCCCAGAGATGAAGCCCAATTTTCCTCTGTCTCAAGCTTTGAAGGCCAGCTTTAGCGTGTTCACCATGGATGAATGAAGGTGAGGTCAGAGGTTTGGGAAATGGTCAAGAATGAGGTGAGAAGAGAGCTGTGGAGGCATGGCCCCGGGGAGCTTGGTACCCCCCCATATCCAGAGCCTGTCTGGTCCAGGAGAGTTCCCAACCCTGTGAGCACCAACTCCGGATATTCTGGGCAGTGACCCGAGGGACAGCCTCTTATGAATACAGGCTGTTTTCCTCCAGTGTCTGCTGTGAAACCAGGATGTACAACATGGCCGTGTTCAACCCAACAATGGACTTAGGATTTTGCTGTACGCCAAAACTCAGTGTCCAACTTCCACTCTGTTTAGCTGGAAAAAGAAGGGGTTTGTTCCCATACATCTCACTCCTGTGTTCCTCTTTCAGTCTCAAAGCTCAGATGAAAACAATGAGTGTCACTTATTGTCAATCCTCTTCCCTGCCTTTTCCACACTCATCAGTATTACCGTTTACATTGAGACTAAAGATGGCCAATCACCACTTTTCTTCGGAAAAATCAACCTGATGTTGTACCTACTTTTTTAGAGGTGGAATCAACCTACCCTAAGATGCCAACTACATTTTACTGAATGGACTTTTGTGGATCCCCTCGATGTATATAGTGGCACCTTGAGGTATCATCCCTGTCTTTAGCAAATGAATATTATCCCAAGGACAATATTTCATCACAATTATTCGGGATGGACGAGTGGATATTGTGGTAGCAAGAACATTACTAAAAGTCACAGCTGATACAACACACTTGAAACCCATCTGGCCAATCTCCCACAGACAGAATGTCGCGCCATTCACTCCAGCCAGCTTCAGTCATGTTTCTTCCATTTCCACCTGTGGCCCCTCATGTCTCCACCAGGTCTTAGCCAGCATTGCCAAAAGAGCCAGGAAGACCAGACCAGCCACAACAATCCTGATGGAACTCTCCACAGTATAGTTCTGGAGAACAGGGGCTGGAGGGTGGGGGTAAGATCAGAGACCTTTCCATGTGGGCCAGGCCCCTCTCTCCCCAGAAGCTCTGAAATGGAGCTATTTCCCCATCTCACCTTCATAAAATTCTTCCTGTCCAGAACCCCTCTTCTCCCTATATCATCATGAGCACCTTCAGAAGTCTTTTGCCACAAAAAGAAATTTCTTTTGAAGATATACATTTTTTTGTACATTTCAAAAATGTTCCCAAACTAATTCTCCAAAGCAATAAATGTTTGTGTGTATTGCTGGGTAGGTTATGCATACAAGGAAAGGAAGCATAGTGAGTCTGATTTGGCAGAGGAAACATATGTGGAAATTATATCATTTACTCTCTTTACAAAATTAAGTACAAAATTGAAAACACTGGTAAGAAAGAATGAGCTATAGAGAAAGAAAACATCTGAGATGCTTGTTTCCAAGATGGCTGACTAAATGCTTTTCTGGCATGTCTCATCCACTTAGAAGAACGAGCAGAATCCAGAACAAAAACCATATGATCATCTCAATAGACATAAAGAAAAGCATCTGAAAAGAAATTCAACATCCTTACCTGATGAAAACCCTCAAAAACTTAGGCATAGAAAGAACATACCTCAAAATAATAAAAGCCATAGATGACATATCTAGAGTCAACATCATACTGAACAGGAAAAGTTAAAAGCACTCCTCTGAGAACTGGCACAAGACAAGGACACGGACATCCACCACTTCCTATCAACATAGTACTGGAAGCCTTGTCAGAGCTATTGGGCAACAGGAAGAATTAAAAATCCAAATTAGAAAAGAGGAAGTAAAATTATTTTTATTTCTGATGCTATGATCTTAAATCTAGAAAATCCTAAAGACCCTGCCAAAAATTCTTATGATTGATAAATGAACTAAGTAAAGTTTCAGAATACAAAATCAATATGTAAAAGCCGGTAGCATTTCTCTACACCTATAATGATCTAGCTGAGAACCAAATCAAGAAGGCAATGCCGTTTACAATAGATACGCAAAATTAAAACACTCAGGAATACATTTAACCAAGGTGGTGAAAGAGCTGTACCAGGAAAGGTGTAAGACACCAATGAAAGCAATTATAGATAATACAAAAAAAAAAAAGAAAAAAAATCCCACGCTCATGGATCATAAGAATTAATATTGTTAAAATGACCATACTGCCTAAAGCAATCTACAGATTCAGTGCAATTCTTATATGAAAATAGTAACACCAGCTTTCACAGAATTAGAAAAAGCAATCCTAAAATTCATACAGAACCAAAAAAGATCCTAATAGAGAAAGCAATTCTAGGTGAATGTAGAAACCTGGAGGCATCACGCTATCTGACTTCAAACTATGCTCTAAGGCTATAGTAACTTAAATAGCACAGTGCTGGTATAGACACAGAAACAGAGATCAATAGACCAGAATAGAGAGCCCAGAAATACAGCCTCATATCTACAGTGAATAATCATTGACGACGTTAACAAAACATACACTGGAGAAAGATTTCCTTTTCAATAAAAGGTGCTGGGAAAACTAAATAGCCATATGCAGAAGAATAAAACTGGACCTGTATCTGTAATCATACACATAAATTAACTTAAGGTAATTAGCAGCTTAAATGTAAATCCAGAACTATAAAATCACCGGTGGAAACCCAAAGAGAAACTCTTCTGGGCATTGGTCTGGGCAAAGAATTCATCACTAAGACCTCAAAAGCACAGGCAATAAAAATAAAACTAGACCAATGGGACTTAATAAACGAAAGAGCTTCTGCCAAGCAAAGGAAATAGTAGCAGGGTGAACAGACAACCCACAGAATGAATGGAAATGTTTGCAAACTATGCACCCAACAGAGGACTAACATCCAGAATTTCTAGGCAACTCAAACAACTAAACATAACCCCTCAAATAATAGCATTAAAAAGTGGGCAAAGGGATATACATAGACATTTTTCAAAAGAAGACATACGAATGGCCAAACAGCGTATGAACATCACTAATCATCAGAGAAATGCAAATTGAAACCACAATGAGATATCATCTTACAGTAGTCAGAATGGCTATTACTAAAAATGCTGGTGGGGAGTGGTGGCTCACGCTTGTAATCCCAGCACTTTGGGAAGCTGAGGCGGGTGGATCATGAGGTCAGGAGTTTGAGACCAGCCTGACCAACATAGTGAAACCCCATCTCTACTAAATATACAAAAGATTAGCTGGGCATGGTGGTGTGGTTCTGTAATCCCAGCTACTCAGGAGGCTGAGGCAGGAGAATCATTTGAACCTGGTTGGTGGAGGTTGCAGCGCGTGGAGATGGCGGCACTGCACTCCAGCCTGGGTGACAGTGGAAGACTCCATCTCAAAAAGAAAAAAAGAAAAAGTGAAACATATAACAGGTGTTGGCAAGGATGCAGAGAAAAGGAAACTCTTATACACTGTTGGCCGGTATGTAAATTAGTATAGCCTCTATGGAAGACAGTATGGAAATTTGGCAGAGAACCAAAAATAGAAGCACCATTCGATCTAGGGGTCCCGCTGCTGGGTATCTACTCAAAAAATACCTGCACCTGTATGTTTATTGCAGCACTGTTTGCAATAGCAAAGATATGAAATCAATCTAAGTGTCTGTGAATGAATGATTGGATTAAAAAAAGGATGCGTGTATACACAACGAAATACTATTTGGTCATAAAAATAAAACCATGTCTTTTGCAGCAACATAGATGGAGCTGGACGCCATTATTTTACATAAAACCACTCAGAAAGACAAATACCACATCTTCTCACTCTACATGGGAGGGGAGTAATGTGTACATATGGACGTAGAGTGTGGAATGACGGACAGCGGAGGCTAGAAGGCTGGAGGGTGGCGGGACGTGGGTGAGTGATGAGAATTTGCTTAATGAGTACAATGTACGGTATTTGGGTGATGGATATAGTAAAAGTCCTGACTTCACTACTCTGCAACATACTCATGTCACAAAATTACAAGTGTACCTCATAAATTTATACTAATAGAAAAGAAAGTCTGTACACAGTAATCAATTGTGATATGTAGATAAAGTCAATATTAAATTTAAACCAGAATAACTAGTTAAAATGTTGTGTACACAACAGTGAAGAGAGTATTTATCCTCTATGACAGAGGAAACCATCAATATTAATGCACAGAAAAAGCAAATAACTGAAACAAGAAAGAGCAGTTTTGTGACAGGGTAAAAATTGACAACAGTTTTAGAATGCTCCTAACTTGAGTTCCAAAAAGAAAGAACGAGAAAACAGGTCAGAAGCAATCTTTAAAGAGGCAATTGTTGATTATTTGGAGGAAGTAGACACATCCATCAATCCACAGGTTCAAGAAATCCAGTGAATGCCAGGCAGAATGAAGTAAACACACCTCACGTTCAACATTACAGAAAAGCAGCATAAAAGCACAACCAACCCTTAAAATTAGCCAGAGGAAAAGGATCAGCTGGTAAGGATTTATAGGGAGCCAAGCATTGTCTTCCCCACAGAAAAAAGGAAAACATAAGCCAGTAGAATAGCATCTTTACCCAGCTAAGATACCGTCGCCAGCCACCGACAATTCCTTACATAGTACAGTTACTGTCCAAGATCAACGCAGGAAAGAAACAGAACTGAAAGACAAAAGGGCAAAGAAAGCTTTTCTCACTGACCCTAAAGGAAATTCTGATGACCGTGCCTCAAAGATAAAGAAAGTGAAACCAGATGGGGTGTCGAAGATTCTGACAATAACTAAGAGCAGAGGAAGAACTAAAAATATGGCTATGCCAAAAATGAATATGGACCATACGATAGTGTATGAAAACACGCCCCTGTGTAATTTCTGAAAAAGATAGAATTATGTATACCACAAAACAAAACATCATATAAGTAAATACAAACATATGTACTAAATATGCTCTAAAATCCTGTTCTTACACAGGAAGAGTGGAAATATGTTTTTATATTTGCAGTTTAATCTCTGAAATGATTAATTTCAATTTTAAAAATATGTAACAACTTCAGGATGAGTACACCATATATGTATTCCTAAACGACATAGATCAAAAATAGAATGTTTGAAATAGAAAACCACAGAAGTCAGTGGGAAAAAAAGGGAATCAGGAAAACACAACGTAATAATAACAAAAATATGATTGGAAGAACTGCTCAAACATGAACAAAAGATTGTCAGAAAGTCTTACTTTCTAAGGCGAATTGTTTGAAATTTACAAAGGACACATCTCAATGTTAACAATTCATGGAGTTTGAAATTAAACAATGTAGAAATATACCAAGCAATCACTGTTAGAAATGTGGTATAACTATATTAAAATTAGACAAAATTAGTCTTTGGGAAAAATCAGCGGAAAACATTAAGCATAAAATGTAGGAAAAAAGCAGGTAAATTTATAGCATTTTAAATTTACCAGGAATATATAATCAGTTTACACTTAACCACTCCCAGTAATATTCCTGCAAATATACATGGAGGAAGAGTCGCGGAAATAAATGGACAGGTAGGCAAATCCACGGCCACAGTGGGGTGTTTAACACTCCTCTTTTCTCAGTTGTTGATAGAAGTGGTTCAGGCAATTAGAGAGGATTTAGAAAGATAATTGCTGGACCTGACCCAAGGTATAAGTCCACTCCCAACCACAGGACTCACTTTCCTTACAAGCACAAGGGCATTTAGAAATCTCTCTGGATTCTGACCAGCCCTCACCATATGGCAGGTCCATGGACTTCTTGGAACACACCAAGCTCATTCTCACATTAGGG
The DNA here is from genome assembly GCF_000001405.40 of Homo sapiens. NCBI lineage: Eukaryota > Metazoa > Chordata > Mammalia > Primates > Hominidae > Homo > Homo sapiens. The sequence goes on from NT_187685.1 coordinate 76,689, forward strand.
TCATCCCCAATGTCCTAAGTCCATGAAAGTTCCTTTCAACACACTCCCCAGGGCTCACTCCCTCTTGTCTCTAAGATCGGAGTTTAAATGTGATCTCTCTGATGAGGTCTCAGTGAGACATTCCCTCCTGTACACTCCAAATGACAACGTTCCACGTTCATTCATTTCATTCTGTGCATGGCACTTTCACCAAGTGCTAAGGATTCACTCACTAATTCATACATTCATTCATTCATTCATTCACTCATTCCATCATTCACTCATTCATTCATTCTCTCATTCATTCATTCATGTTCTGCCTCTCTCTCCCACCCCACAGCAATGTGAGCATCATGAACCCAGGAGCTTGGCCGTGCTGTCTACTCCTGGCCATGAAACAGAGAGAACTGATGGTAGGTGTGAAATAAATATTAGATGAATGAGTTAGTGAAGGGGTCATTTACTGGGTGAGCTCAGTTCTCTCTACTCTAATGCCCTCCCTCGGCTGACTTCCCTGAGTTGCCCCCTCGGCTGAGTGAAGTCCCTTCACTGGCAAATGGAACCTCAACCAGTAGCACCTAGGTGGTCTCATACTTTGTTCTTTCCCTCTCCTCTTGCTCCCTAAGGATTATCAATCTCCATGACAGGGCTGGAGAGCAGACAAGCCACACATTCTTTCTGGGGAGAGAGTAACATGGAGTACAAGGCATTCCACATTTAGGAAGAGAACTCAGTTATGGAAGGTCAGAAATGAAAAGTTCCTACAGACCAACACCCAGGTTGGTGGCCACAGCCCTAAATGCTGATGGAGAATCACTGCAAGTCTGTAGGGAAGATGTCTGGCTTGAGGCCACTGAGCGAAGTGGCAGATCCTTCTCAGCCTTCAGTGCTGAGCCTCTGTCCCCTCAGGGATCCACTGACCAATGAGAAGAGCCTCTTCTCATCTCCTGGGATGGAGCTTGGGGCCCCTGGCGAAGGAATGGGCCTGTTTCCACCTGTCATGTTGTCATCTAGCTTGGAAATCCTGCGAGTCCCAGGGAGGCCCTCCCCGAGTCCCCAGAGAAGACTCCCCCACTGAGTCTCCAAGGTGTGGAGAGAGCAAAAAACATCTAGGGTGGAAAATGCCTCCCATCAAGAGACATTGGGGCTCCCCCAACGATGGTTGCATCTGTGCCCCCCATGTGGAAATCACTCTTTGGTGAGAGGTGGGGGCTTCTGGAAATGGGCAATGGCGGGCGGCCAATGCTACCTCTAGTCTTTCCAATCTGAGCCCGGCCTTTCATGCTCCTGAGTCAGCATTGATGCTGTTTACATGTGTCCCAGGTGGGCTTCTGTACAAAGACTGGGAAGTGGTTTATGTGGCCTGTGCTCTATCTGCAAGCTTCAGGTAGGGTTGCAGTTACCACCCCAAACCCTAATGTGATCTGTCTGCCTCGCTCTGTCTGTCTGTCTATGCCTCTTTCTGTATGTTTGCTTTGTGTCTCTTCTGTCCAGCATCTCTGGCTGACACCCCCATGGCCACCCCCTCCATCTGAGGCTCCCCTGAATGTGGCCATTGTAGTCCATCTGAGTCCCACTATTTGGGGAACAGACTGGTTTCCTCACCTGTGACAGAAACAAGCAGTGGGTCACTAAGGTCTGACCACTCGTAGGGAGAGTCACGGAAAGAGCCGAAGCATCTGTAGGTCCCTCCGTGGGTGGCAGGGCCCAGAGGAAAGTTGGCCTGGAAGGTTCCATTGACCTTGGGCACTGCAGGGAGCCTAAGTTCATGAGCCTCCCCGTCCCTTGATAGATGGTAGATGTCATAGGAGCTCCGGGAGCTGCAGGACAAGGTCACGCTCTCTCCTGCCTTAACCATGGGGCGCGGCTGGGCTGAGAGAGAAGGTTTCCCACATAGACCTGGAAGGAGAAGAGGCAGTTTCCTCAGGGAGGTTCTTCCTTGTCACAACTCCCCTCCCACCTGAGCTGAGAACTCACTCCCCTGCTCTATGGCCTAATGCTCTCTCTCTCTGTCTCACCCTCCACACCATCTCTCTTTATGTCTATTTCCTCTTTCCACCTTCTCTGTCTCTCTAGGTCTCTGACCTCACTTTCTCACCTCTAGATATGTTTTCCCTTTTTGGATTCTTTTATTCTCTCTGACTCTCCTTGGACTAGTTGACTTGATGTTACTTTTTTTAAATTCTGAGTTTCTCACTTTGTGTCCTGTTCATAACTTTCTGCATATTTCTATCTATTATCTATCGATATATCTATTTATCTATTTGGTGCCTATCTACAAATTCTCTACCTGTCATCTATATCTATATATAATCTATTTATCTATCAATTGTCTATCCAAAAATCATCTATTATCTATATCTATGTATCGTCTCTCTCTCTCTATGATTTCTCTTTGTCTGCCTCTCTATCTCTATGTATTATCTATCTATCTTCATCTTCATCATCTCTATGTATCATCGATTAATCAATGAATGAATCAATCATCATCTATGTATCTATAACCTATTATCTATCATCTACCTATTTATCATCTATCTATATCTATCCATCTATCATCTGTCTTGCTCTGCCTCTCGGTCTCTCTAGTTCTCTTTGGAATCTCTGCAATTCATCCCCACATCTCCATCTTTCTATGTCCTTGTGTCTCTCCCTCAGGACTCTAATTTTAGTGCTTTTCTCTGTTCCCTTCCATTGTTCTCTCCACTTCTCTGCCCTCTTTTCTCCCTCTTTATGTGTCTGTGAGTCTCTCAATCTCCTTCCTCTGGCTCATTCTCTGTGTGTTTATGTCTTTGCTTTTTGGTGTCCCTGATTTCTCTCTGTGTCTCTCAGTGATCCTCTCATATGTGGGGTTATTTGGAATGTGAGCCTCAGAATCCAGTCTGGGGACCGCAAGTTCACACAGTATACAGGGGTTGATGTTCTGGGGCCATGATATCCTGGGACGATTACTCTCCATTGCATGGAAGGCAGAGGTGTCAGAATAAACACGGCATCTGTAGGTGCCAGAAGGCCTGAGGCCACAGGGCCCAACTCAGGCCAGAAATATGGGTGTCCTTGGGTTCTTCTGGTAGAGAACACTTTGTGGAAGTAAAACAGAAATGAAACTTCTAACCTGTGCCAGGTCTCTGAGCAAAGTCAGCATGGAAGGACACCTCTCTCTGGCACATGTCTGTCTGTGTCTCCTTTAACTCTTTCTGTCTTTTCTAACTCCCTGTATGGCCCCTGTGTCTGTCCTCTGTTATGACACCTGGTCTGTACTTGTGTCTCCTGTTTCTCTGTCTCTGTTGGTACAGACCTCACCAAGTTAGTCTCTCTCCATAAGAATACCAAGCTCATCTTCCTTATAACCACCTGGGCCTCCAAGTCGTGGATCATTCACTCTGTGTCCCAGTGACAATGAGAATAATGTCCAGACACTCTCACCTGTAATCACGATGTCCAGAGGGTCACTGGGAGCTGACAACTGATAGGGGGAATGAGGAACAGAACCGTAGCATCTGTAGGTCCCTGCAAGGTCTTGCGTCATGCGACCGATGGAGAAGTTGGCCTTGGAGACCCCATCATGGAGCTCTCCAGTGAGGCGCAAAGTGTCATTAAACTTCCCCTCTCTGTGCAGAAGGAAGTGCTCAAACATGACATCTGACCAACATTGCAGGATGACTGTCTCTTCTGATTTCACCAGGGGACCTGGGTGGGCCAGGAGGGAAGGTTTTCTGTGGACTCCTAGGAAGAGAGGTTGTGACTTTAGAAGGCATCTCTCTTTATCATCCCATCCATGGCACCTAGAATGAGTGAGGCTTCCCCTCGCTGGTGTCTTATCTCTCTCCTTCCTCTCTGTGTCTTCATGTTCTTTTCTGTGCCCATAACTCCTGGTACAGGTCCTTCCATCTGTCTCCCTCCCTCTTCTCTGTCCCTCTGTCTCTAGTAGCTCCTGATTCCCTTGCCGCTGGGCTCAGCCTCATCTCTTGGGCTGTTGTATCTATTTCGAACTAATGTCTTTCCTGCTTCTATGTGGGGGTGGAAGAGGAACCAGGATAGGCTGCACGTCCAGGCTCTTAGCAGACTGGTTCAATCTCTTTTGGACGAATTGGAATCCTTGGCAGAAGGTATGAACTGATCAGTAAGGCAGGCACCAGTGTCCACACACCCTGTTCCTGGTGGGGACTGGGAGCCACTCTTGCCATGCCTGTGCCTTCTCCATGGTGCCAGCTTCCATAGGCTGGCTTCTGGTGCTGGTTTGAGGAGTATCAACCCCTCCCTATGTGGATGGAGCCTGGTGGTGGCATCATCATCCCACCCTTGCTGATCTCGGTGTAGCCAACCTTCTCTTTGTTTGGTTTCTTTAATTAATTAATTAATTTTGGAGTCAGAGTCTCACTCCTTCACCCAGGCTGGAGTGAAGTGGTGTGGTCTAGGCTCACTGCAACCTCTGTCTCCTGGGTTCAAGTGATTCTCCTGCCCTCAGCCTCCTGAGTTGCTAGGATTACATGCACCTGCCACCACGCCCGGCTATCCTTGTGTCCTTTCTTATCTTGTCCTTGACCTGGGTTCCAGTGTTGGTTTCCTGTTGGTGCTGTGGAAAATTATCAGAAGCATGGCAGCAGGAGAGAGCACACTGACCCCTTCCGTTTCTGGAGACAGAAATCGGACCCTGTTTTTTGAGGGCTAAAATCAAGGCATCTGCAGGGCTGCGTTCCCTCTGGAGACCCAGGAGAATCAGTTCCTTGACTTTTCCAGCCTCTATAGGCCACCTGCATTCATGGCTCATGGCCTTCCTCCACCTTCAAAGCTGATGGAGACTTCCATTGCACTGCTCTAATCGCCACTCCCCTCTTCCTTCTCCTCTCATGTGCACCCTTGTGATTACACTGAGCCCAGCAGGACAGTCCAGGCTGTCTCCCCATCTCAAGGTCAACTCAACAACCTGAGCTCCATCTTCCCCTTCAGTGCCTTCCCCTATAACATAAATAGTCACAGACTGCAGGGATTAGAATGCAGTCATCATTGGGGACAATTATTCTTTCCACCACAGCACCCATTTCCCTGTATTCAATCCCCTTTTACCCCAAATACAGTTAGGGTCTGGATGATGGGACGCTGGTGGACACTCCCACCAGAAGCTCTGGGACTCAGGAGGTGGGACAAGGAGAATCCCAGACAGGAGCCCTCTGACCTGTGACCATGATCACCAGGGGGTTGCTGGGTGCTGACCACCCAGTGAGGAAGTGTGGGTGTGAACCCCGACATCTGTAGGTCCCTGCATGTGCTGGGGTCACAGGGCCTATGAAAACGGTGTTTCGGAATACTCTGTTGTAGAGCTCAGGGACAGGCATCCCGTCTTCTTTGGACAGACTGAATTCGTTAAACCCAAGACGAGAGCGACACTGAAGAGCCACATGTTCTCCTTCAGACACCACAGGGCTGGGCCAGGCAGAGAGGAAGGGCTTGTCCTGACCACCTGGGGGAGAAGGAGGCGCCACCTTAGAGAGGAGGATGTGGCACTCCCTCCCTCTATTCCTTTCCAGGACTCACCAACACACGCCATGCTGACGACCATGAGCGACATGGTGCTGCCGGTGCAGACAGGCGGCCGCGCCCCAGCTCAGCTCAGCAGCGCACAGGATGTTATTTGGCGCCCTGCCCATGCAGCTTACATGTTGACTACATCATGGGAGGGTGACGTACGCAGGCTCTTTCTACCTTGCATGAGGCCCAGTGGATGCTTGCTCAAGAGCGGAACACGGCTTCCTGGAAATTGTTCTCACTAGAATTGGCACCTCACGTCCTTCACTATGACCAACTCACAACACGTCTCAGATCCAACCTCCCGAACACAAGATGCCTAAAATCTGTGCTAACGTGAAAGACTTTTCATGTATTTTTATCCGAACACGAGATGCCTAAAATCTGTGCTAACATGAAAGACTTTTCATGTATTTTTTTTGTTTTTATCTGAGATTCAAACTCTTCTTCCTGTGTAATATGCAAAGTATCTAATAGGTATTATTAATGTTTTCGGAGTCATTGTGACTAATAAACCATTAGAATTTTTCATGCTTGTATTTCTAGTATTACAGCAGAACCAGCTAAAATGATTTAAATTCCCAGGGAAGGATTATGCAATTATTTACAATCTTAGAATTGTACTTTATCAGCAAAAACCACACCTGTAAATTCTGGAGTTTTGTAGTTTAATCTAAAATTTGTCTCATGACCCAAGATTCCAGAGTCCCAACTCTGGAGTTTGCTCTCTGTCTGTCTCTCTCCCTCCCTCGTTTTAAATTTTACAGAAATATCCAGTAACATAATGCTATAGAAAATCAAGTTTTCCCCAGCACGTTGGGAAGCCGAGGTGGGCGGATCAACTGAGATAAGGAGTTTGAGAGCAGCCTGGCCAATATAGTGAAACCGTGTCTCTGTTAAAAATCCAAAAATTAGCCGTGCCTGGTGGCAGGCACCTGTAACGCCAGCTACTCAAGAGGCTGAGGCACGAGAATCGCTTGAACCTGGGAGGCGGAGGTTGCAGTGAGCTGAGATTGTGCCACTGCAGTCCAGCCTGGGCGACAGAGCAAGACTCCGCCTCAAGAAAAAAAAAGCAAACAGCCTATAATAACAAATTAGAGGGCTCTGGCTACTAAATTTAAAGGGTTCTATAAGGCTACATAAAGTGCAGCATCATCAAGAGTGTGGACACAGAGAGCCCCTTAGCAGAAACAGTGTCTAAAATACATCCATGTACACACAGTCCCTTTAGAGTTGACAAAGGCTGCCGTGTGGTTTAAGGTGGCATAGAATGTCTTCTCAATAAATAATATTAAACCAATTGGTTACACCTAGGAAAAAATAAATCTAACTCACACTATAAAAACACTTCTTAGTTTTTATCTAGTTGTACATTTTTTATGATTTATATTTAAATTTGAGAAATAAAAGTCATATACGGTCATCCTTCACTATTCGTGGGTGATTGGTTTTGAGATCTCCACTCAGATACCAAAATCTGTAGATGCTCAAGCCTCTTATATGAAATGGCACAGCGTTTGCAAATAACCTATGCACATCCTCCTGTATACATGAAATCATCTCTAGATTACTTATAATTCCTGATACAGCCTACACACAGCTTCATTTGTGTCCATTCAACATAGTTATGCTTTTTGAAACTCTGTGGATACTTTCTCTCAATATTTTTGATTTATACTTGGTTCAATAAACACCTGTAAACCCCGCAGATATGGAGGAGTGACCGTATATTTATATTATGAAAGATGATGTGTTGATATGTGTCCCCATGGAGATGAGACTAACAAGGCCTATGATTCTACAAATGTTTCATTGTGGAATGACTCTGCCAGCTTTCCAGGTCTGCAGAGAGTAAGAGTATCACTTGTTCATATGATTCGTGATCCTTGGAACCTCCTATGTGCTACATCTTTGGATGGAAATTGGAGTCCCAGAGACAAATGAGGCTCCACCCTGCTTCCAGAAACTCAGAGTCCGGGGATGAGAACTCAGTGGGGAACAGATGGGATTATATGGACATGGTACTGATAACACCGGAAGCCTTAGGCAAGAAAAGAGTCCCATTACCGAAACCATGGGGGCAGACATGTTTATTTGAAGGATGGAAAACTACATTGAAGTTATTTTAAAAAATATATAAGTTTTACTGCTGACAGAAGACTGAAAGCTAGTCTGAGGGGAGGTGGAACAGCATGAGGGAAGGTGGAACAACACGTGTCTAAGTGCTGCGTTAAGAGGGAGCCTCTTGTATGTTTGGAATTGTGAGTTCCTCAGTGTGATTGCAGCCTCAAGTAGACTAGGAAGTAAGCCAGTTAGGTTGGAGAGGTGGGCAGGGGTCAAGTGAAATGGAGAACTGTGGGTTAAGCAAAGGAGTGTGTTTTTTCTCCAGCAGGCAGTGGGGACCTTAGACATTTGTAAGCAAGTGAGAGGCACATTCAGATTTGTGGTGTGAGGAAGATCGATGCCCTAAGATGCAGACTCACGCCTTCAGATTCCAGCTGCTGGTACATGGGAGCTGGCAACCCGGTTTTGAGACAGGGCTGTTGTCTCCCTAGAAGACGCCCTCAAGGCCTGACTGTGGTGCTCATGGGCAGGAGACAACTTTGGATCTGGACTCAGCATTTGGAAGTTCCGTGTACACGATGATATCTGTTGGGGGTGTCTTGGGCCTCTGAGAAGGGCGAGTGATTTTTCTCTGTGTGAAAACGCAGTGATTCAACTGTGTGTATGTCACCTCCTGAGGGTCTTGTTCATCAGAGTCCTGGAGAGAGGGAAATGCTGAGTGAGGGAGGGTGCTCACATTTTCCAGGACTCTTTGGGAATAACAGTAGCCACGAGCCCGGGCCGAGGAGTACCTACCTCGCTATTCGCTGTTCTGTTTCCTGCAGACTCTTGGTCCATTACCGCAGCATCTGTAGAAGATGGAAGTCAACAAAACAGCTCGGAGGGCACTTCTGGGTCCTCATTTCATAAGCAGATACCAACATACAGGGGGAGACCATAGGTGGCTGAGGTCCCTCAGTTGCCAACAGCAGACTCAGACATTCTATCTCTCTGAGCTCAAGGACCCATCCCATGAATAGCTCTGAGTTCCCATCCCATTGATTCTGTCTCCCACTTTCTGCCTGTCATGGAACCTTCTCCTGGATGTGAGTGGCTGCAGGGGACATGGGGATACAGTTCAGAATCAGGCAACGGTCTGTGAGTTGAAGGCAGGGACAGGGAGTCTGGTGCCCTCTCTAGAAAGTCCTGCCTCTGTGGCTGCTGCCTTGGGCCAGGGACCATCCTGTTTGTGAGGAACACACACCTGAGTGCTCCCATCCTGCTTCCCCACATGGCCCTGAGCTCTCTGGCCTCTGCTTCGTGAGACTTACTTTTTTTGTTGGAGCACCAGCGATGAAGGAGAAAGAAGAGGAGGATGAAGAGGATGATGACCACTGAGGTCCCAATCAGAATGTGCAGGTGTCGGGGGTTACCTGGAAGAAGATGAGACACCAATAAGAAGCTAATCTTAGCAGTTCCTCTTTATGAATTGTCTCGCATTTCTTGATTGACAGGTAACCACATAAAACACCTCTTTAGGACAAGCACCCAGATGGCAGGAGACCCAGCTTTCTCCTGCTTTTTCAGTTATAGCTCTCATAGTAACCATAGAACGTGCTGAGGATACGACTACTTTAGTTGAGATGTTTGACCCCTTCAAACCTCACATTGAAATTTCACCCCCACTGTGGGAGGTTGGGCCTCTTGAGAGGTGTTTGGGTCATGGAGGTGGATCCATCATGAACACATCAATGCTGTCCCAAGGAGACGGGGTTAGCAAGTTCCCCCTCTATTAGTTCCCGGAGAGCTGGTTGTTAAAAAGAGCTTGGAAGCTCCATCACTCCCCCTCCCCCTTGCTCCCTCTCTTGCCGTGTGATCTCTGTGGTCTCTGCACAGACAGACCCTCCTTCCCTTCTGCCAGAGTGGGAGCAGCCTGAGGCCGTCACGAGAAATAGATGCTGGTGCCATGCTTCCAGTACAGCCTGCAGAACGGTGAGGCAAACCAATCTCTTTTCTTTAGAAGTTACCGAGGCTCAAGTGTTCCTTTAGAGCAACAAAAATGGCCTAAGACAGCAACTTCCTGAGATCAGGAGGAACGTCTCAGAACACCCTGGGCTGTCTTCCTGTTCTTCCTGGAGGACGTCATGCAGTGCTTTAGCTGAGTGCTTCCTGTGGCTCCAGGGTACAAAACCCAGGCTGGGCTGCTTTCTGGCTTCCCGCAGCTACACTGCAAATGGGGTGACTCCATATGTCCCGAGGAGCTTTTCTGAGCCTTGAGGGACTGGGTCACATTGAAATATAGGTTTCTGTTGTCACTCGCTGCTTATCTGTTAGTAATGAACCTGCCTATGTAACGTATTCTCTGTGTGTTCTGTCTCCCTGGAGTGACGGTGAGTGATAGGAATTGGCATAGGCCCAGGTGCAGTCCAGGAGGTGTTTAGAGTCTTCTCTGGGAAGACTGGACTGGGATTGATTCACAGCGAATGTGCTTTAGGGTTTCTACATCCACAGCATTCTTGAATCAAACAACTTGCATTCTCCAAGGAAAGAAAACAAAAGTGAAATCAAGATAAAAAAAGCGAAATAGAATTCTCTTATGTCAAACGGCCAGGAAATAGTGTTGAAGCCCGTGTGAAACCTGCTGCTCTTTGTGATCTCGGGAGACACATATTAGGCTGCTGTTCTACCCGAGAGGCTGGGGGAAGGACCACCCCCTCGGCCATCTATTGCTTCAAAACCACCTGTCCTCCTGTGAATTAGTAGGAAAGGGGAGCAGGAGCTAGTGCTGTCGCTGATCTCTGATTCCAAGATCTGGACTCACTCCAAGGAGTGTTAATGTTTACCTCCCCATGGTCTATCTGAATCTCCACAGGTGATTGGAAGTAGGGGTGAGGTGGGGGATTTGGGTGAGTGGGCAAGTTTTTTTTGTGATGACCAGAGCACTTTCTCTATTCCAGGATCTGTGCTGGAGGATTCAGCGGGCTTTCACATTTTCTATATGATCTCATGCTCACAGAAAGCCAAATAGGGAAGAGGTTTTAGGCTCATTGCCTAATGGATAAGATAAAGGATCAAAGAAGTAATTATAGAGAAATAGAAAAACGATGATTGGAATTCAGGTGCCTTTGTCATTCGTGTGTGTTTTATTATATTTATGTATTTCTTATTTTTATTTTTTGAGATAGAGTCTCCTTGTGTCCCCCAGGCTGGAGTGCAGTGATGCAATCTCCACTCACTGCAACCTCCACCTACTGGGTTGAAGTCATTCTCCTGCTTCATCCTCCAGAATAGGAGCTGGGATTACAGGGATGCACCATCGTGCTCGGCTAATTTTTGTATTTTTAGTAGAGATAGGGTTTCACCACGTTGGCCAGGCTGGTCTGGAACTCCTGACTTCATGGAATCCACCCACCTTGGCCTCCTGCAGTGCTAGGTTACAGGCGTGAGCCACTGTTCACAGACTTGTATATTATGCTATAATAAGTCTCTTCATTTCCACCACCACTCATATATCTGTCACTCCTTTGCCAGGTATTGATTTATGTGTAGGATGAATAAATCTCAGAAAGAAATTAATTAAGCGAGGATTAAACAAGTAGGAAAATCAAACCCAGTAAGCCTTTCCAGTCAATGATTCTACCTCACAAACATATCTTATATCCATCTACTTCATTCATTTAGTGTCTAAATCAGCACCACATTTCACCAGTGGGGCGGCAATTGCCTTTTCCACGGTCTCCTAGATTCCAGTTATGCACCTGGGCCTCCCTTATTTTCATGTCAGTCATATTAATCATGTAGGGATTCCTGGTTACCCCGAGGTGAATCCAATGGCTGTGAGTGTCAAACACACACTCCTTGTTGCTCCTTAGTTTCCTGTGTACCCAGTGTGCTCTCCGTCTCTCTACAGTCGTCTTGTCATTCTCCCCACCTCATTCCCAGCATTTGAGTCAGAGCCTCTTCCTTCCACATCAGATTGTTTTCACCTTTGTGCCTTCATGGCTGACAGCTGTGTGTGCAAAATCCTTCCGCCAATCTTTCAGGGGTTCATTCCGTGTTTTTCATTAATGTCACAAATATCTGAATAGTGAGACCTTCTTTGTCACCTGAAATCATACACTCAGCATTATCTATTATTGATTTTGAATTCTGGCTGGGCACAGTGGCTCACGCCTGTAGTCCCATTACTTTGGCATGCTGAGACGGTCGGATCACTTGAGGTTGGGAGTTTCAGACAAGCTTGGCCAACGTGGTGAAACATCCTCTCTACAAAAAATATACAAAAAGAATTAGCCGGGCACGGTGGCAGTTGCCTGTAATCCCAGCTACTCGAGAGGCGGAGGCAGGAGAATCACTTGAATCCAGGAGACGCAGGTTGCAGTGAGCCAAGATCGTGACACTGCACTGTAGCCTGGAAGACAGAGGGCGACTCTGTCTCAATAAACAAAAGAACAAACAAAAAATAGATTTCATGCACAGATGCTTCCCAATGGACCATTCATTTATAGATCCACTTGTGCGTTCATTTTCTGCCCTCCCATTTAACCATCTGCAATATCAGTGTCCCAAGGGCAGAGGCCAAATGCATCTTGTTCACTGTTTGTGGAAGGCAGGAGAATGCTGTCCCACCCCAAAATGTCCCTGTCCTAGCCTCCATAGCTTGTGAATATGTTATTTTACATGGAAAGGAGGAATGAAGATTGCAGATGGAATTATGGTTGCTAATCAGCTGAACTTAAAACAAGGGTATCCTGGATGATTTCCAGGAGATTATGAGGGATTTTCATCTTGGTGAACCCAATAGAATCCCCAAGTTTTCAAAAGATGAGGAAGAAGGGAGAGCAGCACTCAGAGAAAGAGGTGTGGTAAGGAAGAAGGCACTGAGTGATGCCATGTGAGATGTGACCAGTCTTTGTGGGCTTTGAGGAAGGAGGAAGGGGACCAGGAGCCAAGGAACTGGGAGCCTTTAGAAGCTGGGACAAGTGAGAAGCAGATTCGTGCCTGGAATCCTCAGAGGGAAGGCAGCCTTGCTGTCACCTTGATTTTAGCCCAGTAAGATGCACTTCCTACTTTGAGCTACAGCACTGTAAGATAATTAAAAAACCGTTTTGTTTTCACCCACGAATCTTGTGGAAATTTGTTATGGCAACAATAGGAAAAGGTTCCACACTGCACAGCCTGAGCATGGGGCCGTGGCTGAATGAGTCAGTGAGTCGAAGTGTGCGTGCATGAGCTCTGTTCTCTGTTACGGCAAGGCTCTTTCTCTGCGGAGTCAGCCAGGGTTGCTTCATGACCTACAGGAGCTCATTCCTTGGCAAGTGGAACTTCTCTAAAACACCTTGCCCTCATCAGATGTTCCCTTCCCTTCCCTCTCTCAAGTCTCCAGGAATTTATCCTCCAGTTAGGAATGCAGGTAGAACAAACATTGCATTTTTCCTGAGAAGGATGTCAGATTGGCAATCATTCTTCTAGCTTGTAGGAGGTCTCAGCTCCATAAAATGAGAGATGAAGAGATTTCACTGAGCCCTGTGTTGGGCCCAGATCCCTTTCGCTGTAGGAGTATCTGGAGTTCGGAGATGGTGGAAGACAAGTGTACAATGTCAGAGCTGTGAGATGCTGAGTCAACGCCTGAATCCAAGGTTCCCACCTCCCCAGGGTTCCAAAAGCGGATATAAGAGGGTTCTGTACTCACCGGTTTTGGAGCTTGGTTCAGTGGGTGAAGGCCAACTATTTGAAGGGTTTCCTAGAACATGAGACAGGAGAGAGGTGAGGAAATGAGGGTGTCTGTCCTCCACTCAGTGGAAATCTTTGAGGATGGTTCATGGCCAACACTCTCTTATCTAATATTGAGCCCTGGGAGTCCTGGGATCCTTTTTTCCATAATTTTTTTATATGACACCCACTGTCTTGAGACTTCAAGATATAAAGAGAAAACAGGAGCATCACACTACCTGATCTCAAAATATGTTACAGAGCTGTAGTAAGCAAAATAGCATGACATTGGCATAAAGAAAGGCACATAGAACAACGGAGCAGAATGAATAACACAGATATATTCCATGCATTTACATCCAATGGTTTTTTATTTTTTCTTTTGAGATGGAGTCTTGCTCTGTCACTCAGGCTGGAGTGCAGAGGTGCAATCTCGGTTCACTGCAACCTCAGCCTCCTGGGTTCAATCATTCTCTTGCCTCAAATTCCTGAGTAGTGGTATTACAGGTGCTGACCACCATGCTCAGCTAATTTTTATATTTTTAGTGGAGACGATGTTTCATCACGTTGGCCAGACTAATCTTGAACTCCTGGCCTCAGGTGATCCACCCACCTCGGGCTCCCAAAGTGCTGAAATTGCAGGTGTTAGCCACCAAGCCCAGCCCATCCAATGGACTTTGACAAAGATGCCAAGAACTCACAATCAGGAAAGGACAGTCTTTTCAATAAACAGTGCAGGGAAACCTGGACATCTACATGCAGAGGAATGAAACTGCAACTCTACCTGTCACCATACACAAAAATCAAATGAAAATGGATTAAAGATGTGAGTCTAAGGCCTGAACCTATGAAACACGTAGAACAAAATATTGGGGAAATGCTCCAGGACGTTTGTCTGAAGGAAGACATTTTGTTTTAAACCTTCAAAACACAAGTAATCGAAGCAAAAATAGACCATTGGGATTACCTCAAACTAAGCAACTTCAGCACTGCTAAAAATAAACCAACAAAGTGAAGAGACAACCCACAGATTGGGAGCAAATATGTGCAAACTATGCATCTGAGATGGGATTAATAACTAGAAATATAAGAAGCTCAAACAACTCAATAAAACAAATGATTTAATTGAAAAAGGAGCAAAAGACATGAAATTTCCCCACATACGAAAAAGTGCTCAGTATCACTCATCATCAGAGAAACGCAAATTAAAATCAAAGTGAGTTTTCATCTCACCCCATTAAAATGGCTTTTAGGCCGGGTGAGGTGGCTCACTTGTGTCATCCTAGAACTTTGAGAACCTGAGGTGGGTGAATCTCATAAGGTTGGGAGTTTGAGACCAGTCTGACCCACATAGAGAAACGCTGTCTCTACTAAAAATACAAAAATTAGTAGGGCGTGGTGGCGTGTGCCTGTAATTCCAGCTACTCGGGAGGCTGAGGCAGGAGAATCGCTTGAACCTGGGAGGTGGAGGTTGTGGTGAGCCGAGATAGCGCCACTGCACTCCAGCCTGGGTGAGAAGAGCAAAACTCCATCTCAAAATAAAATGAAATAAAATAAAATGGCTTTTAGCTGCAAGACAGGCAAAAGAAATGCTGGCAAGGTGGTAGAGAAAGGAGAACCCTGGTACCCTGTTGGGAGGAGTGTAAATTAGTACAGCCATTACGGAGAAAAGTATGGAAGTCCTTTAAAGAACTAAAAAGAGGTTGGGTGAGGTGGATCATGCCTGTAATCCCGGCACTTTGGGAGACTGAGGCGGGCACCTCAGTTGAGGTCATGAGTTTGAGAGCAGCCCAGCCAACATGGGGAAACCGCATCTATACTAAAAAAACCAAAAAGTAGCCAGGCATGGTGGTGTGCACCTGTAATCCCAGCTACTAGGGAGGCTGAGGCAGGAAAATCATTTGAACCCAGGAGGCGGAGGTTGCAATGAGCCAAGGTTGCACCACTTTGACTCCAGCTTGGGCTAAGGAGGGAAACTCTTTCTCAAAAAAGAAAAAAAAAAAAAAAAGAGAACTTTCATAGTATCCAGCAATTTCACTACTGGGTTTATATCCAAAGGAAAGTAAATCAACATATCGAAGTGATATCTGCACTCGTATGATTGGTGCAGCACTGTTCACAGTAGCCAAGATGAGGAGTCAACCTACCTGCCCATCAGTGGGTGAATGGATAGAGAGAATGTAGTACATACGCACAGTGGAGACTACTCATCCATAGAAAGAATAACATCCTGTCATTTGCAGCCACATGGATGGAACTGGAGGTCATTAAAAAGATTCCCATTTCTCACCCATATACAGGAGCTAAAAGGTGGATCTCATGAAGGTAGAGAGTAGAATGGTGGCTACTGGAGGACAGGAAGAAAAGGGTGGAGGGTAAAAAAAATGTATATATATATATATATAAAAATGTATTTATGACCACTAGACTTTACACTTAAAAATGGTAAATGTGGCTGGGCCTGGTGGCCCATGCCTGTAATCCCAGCACTTTGGGAGGCTGATGCGGGTGGATCACGTGGTCAGGAGTTCGAGACCAGCTCGACCAACATGGTGAAACCACCTCTCTACTAAAAATACAAAAAGTAGCCTGGCGTGGTGGTGCGTGCCTGTAGCACTAGCTACTCAGGTGGCTGAGGCAGGAGAATCGCTTGAACCCAGGAGGCGGAGGTTGCAGTGAGCTGAGATTGTGCCACTGCACTCCATCATAGGGGACAGAGCTAGACTCCACCTCAAAAAAAAATGTTAAAAGTGGTAAGCTATATAGGTATATTTATCCTCAATAAATATTTCTTCAAAGAAAAGTAAAGGGTGTAGGGGTTGCTGGTGATGACATCTCTGTGTGGGTGAGAGGCCAGGATGGGCTTCTGGGAAATGGGTAAGGTTGAGGGGCTGAGGGAACCTCTGATCTCCCCAAACTGAGCCCAGTCTCCCTCCTCTGGGTCTCTCCTGACCGCTTTCTCCATCTGCCTGGGTGCCTGGAGCCCTGGCCGTGGGCCTCCATGCAGGCCATGTAGGAGGGTTTGGAGGTGCCCTGTCGGCCATCCTGTGCCCTGATCCCTCCCTCACACCGAGGCTGCGTCTTCTCTCTGCATCTGTCCATGCTTCTCTCCATCCTCAGCAGGAAGCTCCTCAGCTAAGGCTCTAGGATCATAGGACATGGGACAGCCATGGGCTTTCCTCACCTGTGACAGAAACAAGCAGTGGGTCACTTGACTTTGACCACTCGTATGGAGAGTCATGGAAAGAGCCGAAGCATCTGTAGGTCCCTCCGTGGGTGGCAGGGCCCAGAGGAAAGTCAGCCTGGAATGTTCCGTTGACCTTGGGCCCTGCAGGGAGCCTACGTTCATGGGCCTCCCCTTCCCTGGATAGATGGTACATGTCATAGGAGCTCCGGGAGCTGCAGGACAAGGTCACATTCTCTCCTGCCAGAACCGTGGGGCCCAGCTGGGCTGAGAGAGAAGGTTTCTCATATAGACCTGGAAGGAGAAGAGGCAGTTTCCTCAGGGAGGATCTTCTTTGTCACAGCTCCCTTCACCTGAGCTGAGAACTCACTCCCCTGTTCTATGACCTAATGCTCTCTCTCTCTCTCTCTCACCCTCTACCCCATCGCTCTTCATGTCTATTTCCTCCTTCCACCTTCTCTGTCTCTCTAGGTCTCTGACCTCACTTCCCCACCTCTAGATATGTTTTCTCTTTTTGGATTGTTTTATTCTCTCTGACTCTCCTTGGATTGGTTGACTTGATGTTACTTTTTTTAATTCTGAGTTTCTCACTTTGTGTCCTGTTCATAACTTTCTGCATATTTCTATCTATTATCTATCGATCTATCTATTTATCTATTCGGTGCCTATCTACAAATTCTCTACCTGTCATCTATATCTATATATCATCTATTTATCCATCAATTGTCTATCTATCCATCAATCATCTATTATCTATATCTATGTATCATCTCTCTCTCTCTATGATTTCTCTATGTCTGCCTCTGTATCTCTATGTATTATCTATCTATCTGTCTTCATCATCATCATCTCTATGTCTCATCTATTAATGAATCAATCAATCATCATCTATGTATCTATAACCTATTATCTATCATCTACCTATTTATCATCTATCTATATCTATCCATCTATCATCTGTCTTGCTCTGCCTCTCGGTCTCTCTAGTTCTCTTTGGAATCTCTGCAATTCATCCCCACATCTCCATCTTTCAATGTCCTTGTGCCTCTCCCTCAGGAGTCTAATTTTAGTGCTTTTCTCTGCTCCCTTCCATCATTCTCACCACTCCTCTGCCCTCTTTTCTCTCTCTTTATGTGTCTGTGAGTCTCTCAATCTCCTTCCTCTGGCTCATTCTCTGTGTGTTTATGTCTTTGCTTTTTGGTGTCCCTGATTTCTCTCTGTGCCTCTCACTGATCCTCTCATAAGTGGGCTTATTTGGAATATGAGCCTCAGAATCCAGTCTGGAGACTACAAGTTCACACAGCATACAGGGGTTGGTGTTGTGGGGCCATGATATCCTGGGACGATTACTCTCCATTACATGGAAGGCAGAGGTGTCAGAATAAACATGGCATCTGTAGGTGCCACAAGGCCTGAGGCCACAGGGCCCAACTCAGGTCAGAAATATGGGTGTCCTTGGGTTCTCCTGGTAGAGAACACTTTGTGGAGGTAAAACAGAAATGAAACTTCTAACCTGTGCCAGGTCTCTGAGCAAAGTCAGCATGGAGGGACACCTCTCTCTGGGACATGTCTGTCTGTGTGTCTCCTTTAACTCTTTCTGTCTTTTCTAACTCCCGGTATGGCCCCTGTGTCTGTTCTCTGTTATGACACCTGGTCTCTACTTGTGTCTCCTGTTTCTCTGTCTCTGTTGGCACAGACCTCACCAAGTCAGTCTCTCTCCATAAGAATACCAAGCTCATCTTCCTTACAGCCACCTGGGTCTCCAATTCCTGGATCATTCACTCTGCATCCCAATGACAATGAGAAGAAAGTCTGGACACTCTCACCTATGATCACGATGTCCAGAGGGTCACTGGGAGCTGACACCTGATAGGGGGAGTGAGTAACAGAACCGTAGCATCTGTAGGTCCCTGCCAGGTCTTGCGTCATGCGACTGATGGAGAAGTTGGCCTTGGAGACCCCATCATGGTGTTCTCCAATGAGGCGCAAAGTGTCGTTAAACATCCCCTCTCTGTGCAGAAGGAAGTGTTCAAACATGACATCTGACCAACACTGCAGGATGACTGTCTCTTCTGATTTCACCAGGCGACCTGGGTGGGCCAGGAGGGAAGGTTTTCTGTGGACTCCTAGGAAGAGAGGTTGTGAGTTTAGAAGGTGTCTCTCTTTATCATCCCATCCATGGCACCTGGATTGAGTCAGGCTTCCCCTTCCTGGTGTCTTATCTCTCTCCTTCCTCTCTGTGTCTTCATGTTCTTTTCTGTGCCCATAACTCCTGGTGCAGGTCCTTCCATCTGTCTCCCTCACTCTTCTCTGTCCCTCTGTCTCTAGTAGCCTCTGATTCCCTTGCCGCTGGGCTCAGCCTCATCTCTTGGGCTGTTGTATCTATTTCGAACTAATGTCTTTCCTGCTGTCTATGTGGGGGTGGAAGAGGAACCAGGATAGGCTGCACATCCAGGCTCTTAGCAGCCTGGTTCAATCTCTTTTGGACGAATTGGAATCCTTGGCAGGAGGTATGAACTGATCAGTAAGGCAGGCACCAGTGGCCACACACCCTGTTCCTGGTAGGGACTGGGAGCCACTCTTGCCATGCCAGTGCCAGCTTCCATAGGCTGGCTCCTGGTGCTGGTTGGAGGAGTATCAACCCCTCCCTATGTGGATGGAGCCTGGTGGTGGCATCATCATCTGAGCCTTGCTGATCTCAGTGTAGCCAACCTTCTCCTTGTTTGGTTTCTTTAATTAATTAATTAATTTTGGCGACAGAGTCTCACTCCTTTGCCCAGGCTGGAGTGAAGTGGTGTGGTCTAGGCTCACTGCAACCTCTGTCTCCTGGGTTCAAGTGATTCTCCTGCCCTCAGCCTCCCAAGTCGCTAGGATTACATGCACCTGCCACCATGCCTGGCTATCCTTGTGTTGTTTCTTAACTTGTCCTTGACCTGGGTTCCAGTGTTGGTTTCCTGTTGCTGCTGTAGAAAATTATCAGAAGCATGGCACCAGGAGAGAGCACACTAACCCCTTCCAATTCTGGAGACAGAAATCGGACCCTGTTTGTCGTGGGTAAAATCAAGGCACCTGCAGGGCTTCGTTCCCTCTGGAGACTCAGGAGAATCAGTTCCTTGACTTTTCCAGCCTCTATAGGCCACCTGCATTCATGGCTCCTGGACTTCCTCCACCTTCAAAGCTGATGGAGACTCCCATTATGCTGCTCTAATCCCCACTCCCCTCTTCCTCCTCCTTTCATGTGGACCCCTGTGACTACACTGAGCCCATCAGGACAGTCCAGGCTGTCTCCCCATCTCAAGGTCAACTCATCAACAACCTGAGCTCCATCTTCTCCTTCAGTCCCTTCCCCTATATCATAAATAGTCACAGACTCCAGGGATTAGAATGTAGTCATCACTGGGGACAATTATTCTTCCCACCACAGCACCCATTTCCCTGTATTCAATCCCCCTTTACCCCAAATACAGTCAGGACTTGCATGATGGGACCCGCAAGGACACGCCCACCAGGAGCTCTGGGATTCAGGAGGTGGGACAAGGAGAATCCCAGACAGGAGCCCTCTGACCTGTGACCGTGATCTCCAGGGGGTTGCTGGGTGCCGACCACCCACTGGGGTAGTGTGGTTGTGAACCCCGACATGTATAGGTCCCTGCGTGTGCTGGGGTCACAGGGCCCATGAAAAGGCTGTTCCAGAATATTATGTTGTAGAGCTCAGGGACAGGCACCCCATCTTCCTTTTACAGACTGAAGTTGTTAAACCCAAGATAAGAATGACACTGAAGAATCACATGTCCTGGAGGCACCACAGGGCTTGGCCAGGCAGACAGCAAGGGCTTGTCCTGACCACCGTGGGGAGAAGGAGGCACCGCCTTAGAGAGGAGGATGTGGAGCCGCCCCTCCCTCCCTGTGCTCTGAAGATTCTCCTCGCTTTCCAAGTTTCTATGGCTGCTATCACACCTTGGTGCCCAGGGCTAAAGGAAGGACCCATCCCGCAAACACAAGGTGTCTCCCTACAACAAAAGTGTCAGCTGAGAACTTTGAGCAAGTGCTGAGTAAGAGACTCCTACTAGATTTTAATACTGTAAGATTACTCACATAAAACAACACAGGGTAGACATGGGGTGGAGGGCATGTCCTTTGAGAATGGAATATCAGCCGATGCCTGAACGAAAATAAACAACTGAGTCCCCATCAGAGGATTGGAATGTCAGGGCCATGGCTGTGGTTTTCCCACCTCTTCTGGTAGAATGACAGCAGCCACACTGCAGCCCCTACCGTCATGGAAACGCTGAAGTGTGTGAGTAACACCTTTGTCCTCAGAGGATCTGCTGTTCCTACCACTTCCCCACCACACACCCCAGCTTTGAGCACCGTAGTCTAACCCTGGTCCCCACAGAACTTGACTCTGCCAAGGGAATGAAAGGCCAGGGAGGCAAGGTCAGAAATGTGGGCCCAGCACCCCAGGGTCCCTTCTTCCTAGTTTATGAGAGACTCCCTGACAGGACTTCCCTCCCATTTCAGGAAAATCCTCTTATGTGGGGAGATGACACCCGAAGGTTGGGAGAAGGACTCACCCTCATGTGGCCAGGCCCCCTGCAGCAAGAAGAACCCTGGAAAGAAAGATCATGATGGATGACCCATCTGCAGGCAAACCAGGGCACCCTTGCTGCCCCCACTGGGCTGTGAGTCTTGGTAGCCAGGCCCTTCCTGGGCTGAAGGTAAACTCACCCTCAGTGCCTACCTGCACCCAAGAACAGGGCTGTCGGCTGTGCAGAGACCCAGCCTCCAGGTCCATATCCCCACCTCAAGCCCATATCTCCACTCCAGGCCCATATCTCCACTCCAGGCCGATATTTCCACCCTAAGCCCATATCGCCAATCCAGGCCCATATCTCCAATCCAGGCTCAGATCTCCACCCTGGGCCCATATCTCCAATCCAGGCCCTTATCTCCACTCCAGGTCCATATCTCCTCTCCAGTCCCATATCTCCACTCCAGGCCCATATATCCTCTCCAGTCCCATATCTCCACACCCAGGCCCGTATCTCCATCCTAGGCACATATCTCCTCTCCAGGCCCAGATATCGACCTCTAGGCCCATATCTCCACTCCTGGCCCATATCTCCACTCCAGGCCCAGATATCGACCTCTAGGCCCATATCTCCACTCCTGGCCCATATCTCCACTCCAGGCCCATGTCTCCACTTCAGGCCCATATCTCTACTGCAGGCCCATAACTCCACCTCCAGGCCCATGACTCCACTCCAGGCCCATATCTCCACCTCCAGGCCCATATCTCCCCTCCAGGTTCCTATCTCCCCTCCAGGTTCCTATCTCCACTCCAGGCCCAGATCTCCACTACAGTCCCATCACTCCACCTCCAGGCCTATATCTCGACCTCTGGGCCCAGATCTCCACTTCTAGGCCCATCACTCCATCTCTAGGCCCATATATCCACTCCAGGCCCAGATCTCCACTCCAGGCCCATAACTCCACCTCCAGGCCTATATCTCCACCTCTGGGCCCAGATCTCCATCCCCTCACTCCCTCCCTCTATTGCTTTCCAGGACTCACCAACACACGCCATGCTGACGACCAAGAGCGACATGGTGCTGCCGGAGCAGACAGGCAGCCGCGACCGAGCTCAGCTCAGCAGCGCACAGGATGTTATTTGGCGCCCTGCCCATGCAGTTTACATGTTGACCACATCATGGGAGGGTGACGTACGCAGGCTCTTTCTACCTTGCATGAGGCCCAGTGGGTGCTCGCTCAAGAGCGGAACACGGCTTCCTGGAAATTGTTCTCGCTAGAATTTGACACCTAGTGTCCTTCACTATGACCAACTCAAAACACGTCTGAGATCCAACCTCCCGAACACGAGATGCCTAAAATCTGTGCTAACATGAAAGACTTTTCATGTATTTCTATTGTTTTTATCTGAGATTCAAACTCTTCTTCCTGTGTAATATGCAAAATATCTAATAGGTATTATTAATGTTTTCAGAGTCATTGTCACTAATAAACCATTAGAATTTTTCATGCTTGTATTTCTAGTATTACAGCAGAACCAGTTAAAATGATTTAAATTCCCAGGGAAGGATTATGCAATTATTTACAATCTTAGAATTGTACTTTATCAGTAAAAACCCCACCTGTAAATTCTGGAGTTTTGTAGTTTAATCTAAAATTTGTCTCATGACCCAAGATTCCAGAGTCCCAACTCTGGAGTTTGTTTTCCGTCTGTCTCTCTCCCTCCCTCATTTTAAATTTTACAGAAATATCCAGTAACATAATGCTATAGAAAATCAAGTTTCCCCAGCACGTTGGGAAGCCGAGGTGGGCGGATCAACTGAGATAAGGAGTTTGAGAGCAGCCTGGCCAATATAGTGAAACCGTGTCTCTGCTAAAAATCCAAAAATTAGCCGTGCCTGGTGGCAGGCACCTGTAACGCCAGCTACTCAAGAGGCTGAGGCATGAGAATCGCTTGAACCTGGGAGGCAGAAGTTGCAGTGAGCTGAGATTGTGTCACTGCAGTCCAGCCTGGGCGACAGAGCAAGACTCCGCCTCAAGAAAAAAAAGCAAATAGCCTATAATAACAAATTAGAGAGCTCTGGCTACTAAATTTAAAGGGTTCTATAAGGCTACATAAAGTGCAGCATCATCAAGAGTGTGGACACAGAGAGCCCCTTAGCAGAAACAGTGTCTAAAGTACATCCGTGTACACACAGTCCCTTTAGAGTTGACAAAGGCTGCCGTGTGGTTTAAGGTGGCATAGAATGTCTTCTCAATAAATAATATTAAACCAATGGGTTATACCTAGGAAAAAATAAATCTAACTCACACTATAAAAACACTTCTTAGTTTTTATCTAGTTGTACATTTTTTATGATTTATATTTAAATTTGAGAAATAAAAGTCATATACGGTCATCCTTCACTATTCGTGGGTGATTGGTTTCGAGATCTCCACTCAGATACCAAAATCTGTAGATGCTCAAGCCTCTTATATGAAATGGCACAGAGTTTGCAAATAACCTATGCACATCCTCCTGTATACATGAAATCATCTCTAGATTACTTATAATTCCTGATGCAGCCTACACACAGCTTCATTTGTGTCCATTCAACACAGTTCTGCTTTTTGTAACTCTGTGGATACTTTCTCTGAATATTTTTGATTTATACTCGGTTCAATAAAGAACTGTAAACCCCACAGATATGGAGGAGTGACTGTATATTTATAGTGTGAAAGATGATGTGTTGATATGTGTCCCTGTGTAGATGAGACTAACAAGGCCTATGATTCTACAAATGTTTCATCTTGGAATGACTCTGCCAGATTTCCAGGTCTGCAGAGAGTAAGAATATCACTTGTTCATGTGATTCACGATCCTTGGAACCTCCTATGTGCTACATCTTTGGATGGAAATAGGAGTCCCAGAGACAAATGAGGCTCCACCCTGCTTCCAGAAACTCAGAGTCCGGGGGTGAGAACCCAGTGGAGAACAGATGGGGTTATGTGGACATGGTAATGATAATGGAAGTCTTAGGCAAGAAAAGAGTCCCATTACCGAAACCATGAGGGCAGACATGTTTATTTGAAGGAGGGAAAACTACATTGAAATTATTTTAAAAAATATATAAGTTTTACTGCTGACAGAAGGCTGAAAGATACTCTGAGGGGAGGTGGAACAGCATGAGGGAAGGTGGAACAGGACGTGTCTAAGTGCCGTGTTAAGAGGGAGCCTCTTGTATGTTTGGAACTGTGAGTTCCTCAGTGTGATTGCAGCCTCAAGTAGACTAGGAAGTAAGCCAGTAAGGTTGGAGAGGTGGGCAGGGGTCAAGTGAAATGGAGAATTGTGGGCTAAGCAAAGGAGTGTGTTTTCTCTCCAGCAGGCAGTGGGGACCTTAGACATTTGTAAGCAAGAGAGAGGCACATTCAGATTTGTGGTGTGAGGAAGAGCGATGCCCTAAGATGCAGACTCACGCCTTCAGATTCCAGCTGCTGGTACATGGGAGCTGGCAACCCGGTTTTGAGACAGGGCTGTTGTCTCCCTAGAAGATCCCCTCAAGGCCTGACTGTGGTGCTCATGGGCAGGAGACAACTTTGGATCTGGACTCAGCATTTGGAAGTTCCGTGTACACTCTGGTATCTGTTGGGGGTGTCTTGGGCCTCTGAGAAGGGCGAGTGATTTTTCTCTGTGTGAAAACGCAGTGATCCAACTGTACGTATGTCACCTCCTGAGGGTCTTGTTCATCAGAGTCCTGGAGAGAGGGAAATCCTGAGTGAGGGAGGGTGCTCACGTTTTCCAGGACTGTTTGGGAATAACACTAGCCACGAGGCTGGGCCGAGGAGCACCTACCTCGCTATTCGCTGTTCTGTTCCCTGCAGGCTCTTGGTCCATTACAGCAGCATGTGTAGGAGACGGAAGTCAACAAAAGAGCTCGGAGGGCACTTCTGGGTCCTCATTTCATAAGCAGATACCAACAAACAGGGGGAGGCCATAGGTGCCTGAGGTCCCTCAGTTGCCAACAGCAGACTCAGACATTCTATCTCTCTGAGCTCAAGGACCCATCCCATGAATAGCTCTGAGTTCCCATCCCATTGATTCTGTCTCCCACTTTCTGCCTGTCATGGAACCTTCTCCTGGATGTGAGTGGCTGCAGGGGACATGAGGATACAGTTCAGAATCAGGCAACGGTCTGTGAGCTGAAAGCAGGGACAGGGAGTCTGGTGCCCTCTCTAGAAAGTCCTGCCTCTGTGGCTGCTGCCTTGGGCCAGGGACCATCCTACCTGTGAGGAACACACACCTGAGTGCTCCCATCCTGCTTCCCCACATGGCCCTGAGCTCTCTGGCCTCTCCTTCGTGAGACTTACTTTTCTTGTTGGAGCACCAGCGATGAAGGAGAAAGAAGAGGAGGAGGATGAAGAGGATGATGACCACTGAGGTCCCAATCAGAACGTGCAGGTGTCTTGGGTTACCTGGAAGAAGATGAGACACCAATAAGAAGCTAATCATAGCAGTTCCTCTTTATGAATTGTCTCGCATTTCTTGATTGACAGGTAACCACGTAAAACACCTCTTTAGGACAAGCACCCAGATGGCGGGAGACCCAGCTTTCTCCTGCTTTCTCAGTTATAGCTCTCAAAGTAACCATAGAATGTGCTGAGGACACAACTACTTTAGTTGAGATGTTTGACCCCTTCAAACCTCACATTGAAATTTCACCCCCATTGTGGGAGGTTGGGCCTCTTGAGAGGTGTTTGGGTCATGGAGGTGGATCCATCATGAACAGATCAATGCTGTCCCAAGGAGACGGGGTTAGCTAGTTCCCCCTCTATTAGTTCCTGGAGAGCTGGTTGTTCAAAAGAACTTGGAAGCTCCATCGCTCCCCCTCCCCCTTGCTCCCTCTCTTGCCGTGTGATCTCTGTGGTCTCTGCACAGACAGACCCTCCTTCCCTTCTGCCAGAGTGGGAGCAGCCTGAGGCCATCACGAGAAATAGATGCTGGTGCCATGCTTCCAGTACAGCCTGCAGAACGGTGAGGCAAACCAATCTCTTTTCTTTAGAAGTTGCCCAGGCTCAAGTGTTCCTTTAGAGCAACAAAAATGGACTAAGACAGCAACGTCCTGAGATCAGGAGGAACGTCCCAGAGCAGCCTGGGCTGTCTTCCTGTTCTTCCTGGAGGAGGACGTCATGCAGTGCTTTAGCTGAGTGCTTCCTGTGGCTCCAGGGTACAAAACCCAGGCTGGGCTGCTTTCTGGCTTCCCCCAGCTACACTGCAAATGGGGTGACTCCATATGTCCCGAGCAGCTTTTCTGAGCCTTGAGGGACTGGCTCACATTGAAATGTAGGCTTCTGTTTTCACTCGCTGCTTATCTGTTAGTAATGAACCTGCCTATGTAACGTATTCTCTGTGTGTTCTGTCTCCCTGGAGTGACGGTGAGTGATAGGAATTGGCGTAGGCCCAGGTGCAGTCTAGGAGGTGTTTAGGGTCTTTTCTGGGAAGACTGCACTGGGATTGACACACAGCGAATGTGCTTTAGGATTTCTACATCCACAGCATTCTTGAGTCAAACAACTTGCGTTCTCCAAGGAAAGGAAACAAAAGTGAAATCAAGATAAAAAAGCGAAATAGAGTTATCTTATGTCCAACAGCCAGGAAATCGTGTTGAAGCCCCTGTGAAACGTCCTACTCTTTGTGATCTCGGGAGACACATGTTAGGCTGCTGTTCTACCTGAGAGGCTGGGGGAAGGACCACCCCCTCCACCATCTATTGCTTCAATACCACCTGTCCTCCTGTGAATTAGTAGGAAAGGGGAGCAGGAGCTAGTGCTGGTGCTGATCTCTCATTCCAAGATCTGGACTCACTCCAAGGAGTATTAATGTTTACCTCCCCATGGTCTATCTGAATCTCCACAGGTGATTGGAAGTAGGGGTGAAGTGGGGGATTTGAGTGAGAGGGCAAGTTTTTTTTGTGATGAACAGAGCACTTTCTCTATTCCACGATCTGTGCTGGAGGATTCAGCGGGCTTTCACATTTTCTATATGGTCTCATGCTCACAGAAAGCCAAATACGGAAGAGGTTTTAGGCTCATTGCCTAATGGATAAGACAAAGGATCAAAGAAGTAATTATAGAGAAATACAAAAATGATGATTGGAATTCAGGTGCCTTTGTCATTCGTGTGTGTTTTATTATATTTATGCATTTCTTATTTTTATTTTTTGAGACGGAGTCTCCTTGTGTCACCCAGGCTGGAGTGCAGTGATGCAATCTCCACTCACTGCAACCTCCACCTCCTGGGTTGAAGTCGTTCTCCTGCTTCATCCTCAAGAGTAGGAGCTGGGATTACAGGGATGCACCACCATGCTCGGCTAATTTTTGTATTTTTCATAGAGACAGGGTTTCACCATTTTGGCCAGGCTGGTCTGGAACTCCTGACTTCAAGTGATCCACCCGCCTTGGCCTCCTGCAGTGCTGGGAATTGCCTTTTCCACGGCCTGAGCATGGGGCCGTGGCTGAATGAGTCAGTGAGTCGAAGTGTGCGTGCATGAGCTCCGTTCTCTGTTAAGGCAAAGCTCTTGCTCTGCTGAGTCAGCCAGGGTTGCTTCATGACCAACAGTAATTCATTCCTGGGCAAGTGGAACTTCTCTAAAACACCTCGCCCTCATCAAATGTTCCCTACCCTTCCCTCTCTCAAGCCCCCAGGAATTTATCCTCCAGTTAGGAATGCAGGCAGAACAAACATTGCATTTTTCCTGAGAAGGATGTCAGATTGCCAATCATTTTTCTAGCTTGTAGGAGATCTCAGCTCCATAAAATGAGAGATTAAGAGATTTCACAGAGCCCTGTTTTGGGTCCAGATCCCTTTCGCTGTTGGAGTATCTGGAGTTTGGAGATGGTAGAAGACAGGCGTACAATGTCAGAGCTGTGAGATGCTGAGTCAACGCCTGAATCCAAGGTTTCCACCTCCCCAGGTTTCCAAAAGCGGATATAAGAGGGTTCTGTACTCACCGGTTTTGGAGCTTGGTTCAGTGGGTGAAGGCCAACTATTTGAAGGGTTTCCTAGAACATGAGACAGGAGAGAGGTGAGGAAATGAGGGTGTCTGTCCTCTACTCAGTGGAAATCTTTGAGGTTGGTTCATGGCCAACACTCTGTTATCTAATATTGGGCCCTGGGAGTCCTGGGATCCTTTTTTCCGTAATTTTTGTATGTGACGGCTACTGTCTTGAGACTTCAAGGTATAAAGAGAAAACAGGAGCATCACACTACCTGATCTCAAAATATGTTACAGAGCTGTAGTAAGCAAGACAGCATGACGTTGGCATGAAGAAAGGCACATAGAACAACGGAGCAGAATGAATAACACAGATATAATCCATGCATTTACCTCCAATGTATTTTTTGTTTTTCTTTTGAGATGGAGTCTTGCTCTGTCACCCAGGCTGGAGTGCAGAGGTGCAATCTCGGTTCACTGCCACCACAGCCTCCTGGGTTCAATCACTTCTCTTGCCTCAAACTCCTGAGTAGTGGTATTACAGGTGCTGACCACCATGCTCAGCTAATTTTTATATTTTTAGTGGAGACGATGTTTCATCACGTTGGCCAGACTAATCTTGAACTCTTGGCCTCAGGTGATCCACCCACCTCGGGCTCCCAAAGTGCTGAAATTGCAGGTGTCAGCCACCATGCCCAGCCCATCCAATGGACTTTGACAAAGGTGCCAAGAACTCACAATCAGGAAAGGACAGTCTTTTCAATAAACAGTGCAGGGAAACCTGGACATCGACATGCAGAGGAATGAAACTGCACCTCTGCCTGTCACTATACACAAAAATCAAATGAAAATGGATTAAAGATGTGAGTCTAAGGCCTGAACCTATGAAACACGTAGAAGAAAATATTGGGGAAATGCTCCAGGACGTTTGTCTGAAGGAAGACATTTTGTTTTAAACCTTCAAAACACAAGTAATCGAAGCAAAAATAGACCATTGGGATTACCTCAAACTAAGCAACTTCTGCACCGCTAAAAATAAACCAACAAAGTGAAGAGACAACCCACAGATTGGGAGCAAATATGTGCAAACTATGCATCTGAGATGGGATTAATAACTAGAAATATAAGAAGCTCAAACAACTCAATAAAACAAATGATTTAATTGAAACAGGAGCAAAAGACATGAAATTTCCCCACATACGAAAAAGTGCTCAGTATCACTCATCATCAGAGAAACACAAATTAAAATCAAAGTGAGTTTTCATCTCACCCCATTAAAATGGCTTTTAGGCCGGGCGTGGTGGCTCACGTCTGTCATCCTAGAACTTTGAGAGCCTGAGGTGGGTGAATCTCATAAGGTCGGGAGTTTGAGACCAGTCTGACCCACATGGAGAAACACTGTCTCTACTAAAAATACAAAAATTAGTCGGGCGTGGTGGCGTGTGCCTGTAATTCCAGCTACTCGGGAGGCTGAGGCAGGAGAATCGCTTGAACCTGGGAGGTGGAGGTTGTGGTGAGCCGAGATCGCACCACTGCACTCAGCCTGGGTGACAAGAGCGAAACTCCATCTCAAAATAAAATGAAATAAAATAAAATGGCTTTTAGCTGCAAGACAGGCAAAAGAAATGCTGGCAAGGTGTTAGAGAAAGGAGAATCCTGGTATCCTGTTGGTAGGAGTGTAAATTAGTACAGCCATTACGGAGAAAAGTGTGGAAGTCCTTTAAAGAACTAAAAAGAGGTTGGGTGAGGTGGATCATGCCTGTAATCCCGGCACTTTGGGAGACCGAGGCGGGCACCTCAGTTGAGGTCATGAGTTTGAGAGCAGCCCAGCCAACATGGGGAAACCGCATCTATACTAAAAAAAACAAAAAGTAGCCAGGCATGGTGGCGTGCGCCTATAATCCCTGATACTAGGGAGGCTGAGGCAGGAAAATCATTTGAACCCAGGAGGCAGAGGTTGCAATGAGCCAAGATGACATCACTTGTACTCCAGCCTGGGCACAGAGGGAAACTGTCTCAAAAACAAAAACAAAACAACAAACGAAAAACTAAAAAGAGAACTTTCATAGTATCCAGCAATTTCACTACTGGGTTTATATCCAAAGGAAAGTAAATCAATATATCGAAGTGATATCTGCACTCGTATGATTGGTGCAGCACTCTTCACAGTAGCCAAGATGAGGAGTCAACCTACCTGCCCATCAGTGGGTGAATGGATAGAGAGAATGTGGTACATTTGCATAGTGGAGACTACTCTTCCATAGAAAGAAAAACATCCTGATATTTGCAGCCACATGGATGGAACTGGAGGTCATTACAAAGATTCCCATTTCTTACCCATATACAGGAGCTAAAAGGTGGATCTCATGAAGGTAGAGAGTAGAATGGTGGCTACCAGAGGCCAGGAAGAAAAGGGTGGAGGGTAAAAAAAAATATGTGTATATATATATATATTAATGTATTTATGACCACTAGACTTTACACTTAAAAATGGTAAATGTGGCTGGGCGTGGTGGCTCATGCCTGTAATCCCAGCACTTTGGGAGGCTGATGCGGGTGGATCACGTGGTCAGGAGTTCGAGACCAGCTTGACCAACATGGTGAAACCCCCTCTCTACTAAAAATACAAAAAGTAGCCTGGCATGGTGGTGCGCGCCTGTAGCACCAGCTACTCAGGTGGCTGAGGCAAGAGAATCGCTTGAACCCAGGAGGCGGAAGTTGCAGTGAGCTGAGATTGTGCCAATGCACTCCAGCATAGGGGACAGAGCTAGACTCCGCCTCAAAAAAAAAATGTTAAAGGTGGTAAGCTATATAGGTATATTTATCCTCAATAAATATTTCTCAAACAAAAGTAAAGGGTGTAGGGGTTGCAGGTGATGACATCCCTGTGTGGGTGGGAGGCCAGGATGGGCTTCTGGGAAATGGGTAATGTTGAGGGGCTGAGGGAACCTCTGATCTTCCCAAACTGAGCCCAGTCTCCCTCCTCTGGGTCTCTCCTGACCGCTTTCTCCATCTGCCTGGGTGCCTGGAGTCCTGGCCGCAGGCCTTCATGCAGGCCATGTAGGAGGGTTTGGAGGTGCCCTGTCTGCCATCCTGTGCCCTGATCCCTCCCTCACACCCAAGCTTCGTCTTCTCTCTGCATCTGTTCATCCTTCTCTCCATCCTCAGCAGGAAGCTCCTCAGCTAAGGCTCTAGGATCATAGGACATGGGACAGCCATGGGCTTTCCTCACCTGTGACAGAAACAAGCAGTGGGTCACTCGAGTTTGACCACTCGTAGGGAGAGTCACGGAAAGAGCCGAAGCATCTGTAGGTTCCTCCGTGGGTGGCAGGGCCCAGAGGAAAGTCAGCCTGGAATGTTCCGTTGACCTTGGGCCCTGCAGAGAACCTACGTTCATGGGCCTCCCCCTCCCTGGATAGATGGTACATGTCATAGGAGCTCCGGGAGCTGCAGGACAAGGTCACGCTCTCTCCTGCCAGAACCGTGGGGCCCGGCTGGGCTGAGAGAGAAGGTTTCTCATATAGACCTGGAAGGAGAAGAGGCATTTTCCTTACGGAGGATCTTCCTTGTCACAGCTCCCTTCACCTGAGCTGAGAACTCACTCCCCTGCTCTATGACCTAATGCTCTCTCTCTCTCTCTCTCTCACCCTCCACCCCATCTCTCTTCATGTCTATTTCCTCCTTCCACCTTCTCTGTCTCTCTAGGTCTCTGACCTCGCTTCCACACCTCTAGATATGTTTTCCCTTTTTGGATTGTTTTATTCTCTCTGACTCTCCTTGGATTGGTTGACTTGATGTTACTTTTTTAAATTCTAAGTTTCTCACTTTGTGTCCTGTTCATAACTTTCTGCATATTTCTATCTATTATCTATCGATCTATCTATTTATCTATTCGGTGCCTATCTACAAATTCTCTACCTGTCATCTATATCTATATATCATCTATGTATCTATCACTTGTCTATCTATCCATCAATCATCTGTTATCTATATCTATGTATCATCTCTCTCTCTATGACTTCTGTCTGCCTCTCTATCTCTATGTATTATCTATCTGTCTTCATCATCATCATCTCTATGTCTCATCTATTAATGAATCAATCAATCATCATCTATGTATCTTTAACCTATTATCTATCATCTACCTATTTATCATCTATCTATATCTATCCATCTATCATCTGTCTTGCTCTGCCTCTCGGTCTCTCTAGTTCTCTTTGGAATCTCTGCAATTCATCCCCACATCTCCATCTTTCTATGTCCTTGTGCCTCTCCCTCAGGAGTCTAATTTTAGTGCTTTTCTCTGCTCCCTTCCATCATTCTCACCACTCCTCTGCCCTCTTTTCTCTCTCTTTATGTGTCTGTGAGTCTCTCAATCTCCTTCCTCTGGCTCATTCTCTGTGTGTTTATGTCTTTGCTTTTTGGTGTCCCTGATTTCTCTCTGTGCCTCTCAGTGATCCTTTCATATGTGGGGTTATTTGGAATGTGAGCCTCAGAATCCAGTCTGGAGACCACAAGTTCACACAGCATACAGGAGTTGGTGTTCTGGGGCCATGATATCCTGGGACGGTTACTCTCCATTACATGGAAGGCAGAGGTGTCAGAATAAACACGGCATCTGTAGGTGCCACAAGGCCTGAGGCCACAGGGCCCAACTCAGGTCAGAAATATGGGTGTCCTTGGGTTCTCCTGGTAGAGAACACTTTGTGGAGGTAAAACAGAAATGAAACTTCTAACCTGTGCCAGGTCTCTGAGCAAAGTCAGCATGGAGGGACACCTCTCTCTGGGACATGTCTGTCTGTCTGTCTCCTTTAACTCCTTCTGTCTTTTCTAACTCCCGGTATGGCCCCTGTGTCTGTCCTCTGTTATGACACCTGGTCTGTACTTGTGTCTCCTGTTTCTCTGTCTCTGTTGGTACAGACCTCACCAAGTCAGTCTCTCTCCATAAGAATACCAAGCTCATCTTCCTTACAACTACCTGGGGGTTCCAAGTCGTGGATCATTCACTCTGCATCCCAATGACAATGAGAAGAATGTCCGGACACTCTCACCTGTGATGACGATGTCCAGAGGGTCACTGGGAGCTGACAACTGATGGGGGAGTGAGTAACAGAACCGTAGCATCTGTAGGTCCCTGCCAGGTCTTCCATCATGGGACCGATGGAGAAGTTGGCCTTGGAAACCCCATCATGGTGCTCTCCAGTGAGGTGCAAAGTGTCGTTAAACTTCCCTTCTCTGTGCAGAAGGAAGTGCTGAAACCTGACATCTGACCAACATTGCAGGATGACTGTCTCTTCTGATTTCACCAGGGGACCTGGGTGGGCCAGGAGGGAAGGTTTTCTGTGGACTCCTAGGAAGAGAGGTTGTGAGTTTAGAAGGTGTCTCTCTTTATCATCCCATCCATGGCACCTAGAATGAGTGAGGCTTCCCCTTGCTGGTGTCTGTCTCTCTCCTTCCTCTCTGTGTCTTCATGTTCTTTTCTGTGCCCATAACTCCTGGTGCAGGTCCTTCCATCTGTCTCCCTCCCTCTTCTCTGTCCCTCTGTCTCTAGTCGCCTCTGATTCCCTTCCCACTGGGCTTAGCCTCATCTCTTGGGGTGTTGTATCTATTTCACACTAATGTCTTTCCTGCTGTTTATGTGGGGGTGAAAGAGGAACCAGGATAGGCTGCACATCCAGCCTCTTATCAGCCTGGTTCAATCTCTTTTGGATGAATTGGAATCCTTGGCAGTAGGTATGAACTGATGAATAAGGCAGGCACCAGTGTCCACACACCCTGTTCCTGGTCGGGACTGGGAGCCACTCTTGCCATGCCTGTGCCTTCTCCATGGTGCCAGCTTCCATAGGCTGGCTCCTGGTGCTGGTTTGAGGAGTATCAACCCCTCCCTATGTGGATGGAGCCTGGTGGTGGCATCATCATCCCACACTTGCTCATCTCGGTGTAGCCAACCTTCCCCTTGTTTGGTTCCTTTAATTAATTAATTAATTATGGAGACAGAGTCTCACTCCTTCACCCCAGCTGGAGTGAAGTGGTGTGGTCTAGGGTCACTGCAACCTCTGTCTCCTGGGTTCAAGTGATTCTCCTGCCCTCAGCCTCCCAAGTCGCTAGGATTACATGCGCCTGCCACCACACCCGGCTATCCTTGTGTTGTTTCTTACCTTGTCCTTGACCTGGGTTCCAGTGTTGGTTTCCTGTTGCTGCTGTAGAAAATTATCAGAAGCATGGCAGCAGGAGAGAGCACACTGACCCATTTCACTACTGGAGACAGAAATAGGACCCTGTTTTTCCTGGGCTAAAATCAAGGCATCTGCAGGGCTTCGTTCCCTCTGGAGACTCTGGAGAATCATTTCCTTGACTTTTCCAACCTCTACAGGCCACCTGCATTCATGGCTCCTGGCCTTCCTCCACCTTCAAAGCTGGTGGAGTCTCCCATTGCGCTGCTCTAATCCCCACTCCCCTCTTCCTCCTCCTTTCATGTGGACCCTTGTGATTACACTGAGCCCAGCGGGACAGTCCAGGCTGTCTCCCCATCTCAAGGTCAACTCATCAACAACCTGAGCTCCATCTTCCCCTTCAGTTCCTTCCCCTATAACATAAATAGTCACAGACTCCAGGGATTAGAATGTAGTCATCACTGGGGACAATTATTCTTCCCACCACAGCACCCATTTCCCTGTATTCAATCCCCCTTTACCCCAAATATAGTCAGGGCCTGGGTGATGGGACCCTCAAGGACACGCCCACCAGAAGCTCTGGGATTCAGGAGGTGGGAAAGGAGAATCCAAGACAGGAGCCCTCTGACCTGTGGCCATGATCACCAGGGTGTTGCTGGGTGCCGACCACCCACTGGGGTAGTGTGGGTGTGAACCCCGACATCTGTACGTCCCTGTGTGTGCTGGGGTCACAGGGCCCATGAAAAGGCTCTTCCAGAATATTCTGTTGTAGAGCTCAGTGCCAGGCACCCCATCTTCCTTTTACAGACTGAAGTTGTTAAACCCAAGATAAGAATGACACCGAAGAATCACATGTCCTGGAGGCACCACAGAGCTGGGCCAGGCAGACAGCAAGGGCTTGTCCTGACCACCTTGGGGAGAAGGAGGCACCGCCTTAGAGAGGAGGATGTGGAGCCACCCCTCCCTCCCTGTGCTCTGAAGATTCTCCTCGCTTTCCAAGTTTCTATGGCTGCTATCACACCTTGGTGCCCAGGGCTAAAGGAAGGACCCATCCCGCAAACACAAGGTGTCTCCCTACAACAAAAGTGTCAGCTGAGAACTTTGAGCAAGTGCTGAGTAAGAGACTCCTACTAGATTTTAATACTGTAAGATTACTCACATAAAACAACACAGGGTAGACATGGGGTGGAGGGCATGTCTTTGAGAATGGAATATCAGCAGATGCCTGAATGAAAATAAGCAACTGAGCCCCCATCAGAGGATTTGGAATGTCAGGGCCATGGCTGTGGTTTCCCACCTCTTCTGGTGGAGTGACAGCAGCCACACTGCAGCCCCTACCGTCATGGAAACGCTGAAGTGTGAGTAACACCTTTGTCCTCAGAGGATCTGCTGTTCCTACCACTTCCCCACCACGCACCCCAGCTTTGAGCACCCCAGTCTAACCCTGGTCCCCACAGAACTTGACTCTGCCAAGGGAATGAAAGGCCAGGGAGGCGAGGTCGGAACTGTGGGCCGAGCACCCCAGGGTCCCCTCTTCCTAGTTTATGAGAGGCTCCCTGACAGGACTTCCCTCCTGTTTCAGGAAAATCCTCTTATGTGGGGAGATGACACCCTAAGGTTTGGAGAAGGACTCACCCTCATGTGGCCAGGCCCCCTGCAGCAAGAAGAACCCTGGAAAGAAAGATCATGATGGACGATCCATCTGCAGGCAAACCAGCCCTCCCTTGCTGCCCTCACTGGGCTGTGAGTCTTGGTAGGCAGGCCCTTCCTGGACTGAAGTTAAACTCACCCTCAGTGCCTACCTGCACCCAAGAACAGGGCTGTCGGCTGTGCAGAGACCCAGCCTCCAAGCCCAGATCCCCACCACAAGCCCATATCCCCACCACAAGCCCATATCTCCACTCCAGGCCAATATTTCCACCCTAGGCCTGTATCTCCACTCCAGGCCCATATCTCCACTCCAGGCCGATATTTCCATCATAGGCCCATATCGCCAATCCAGGCCCATATCGCCAATCCAGGCCAAGATCTCCACTGTAAGCCCATATCTCCAATCCAGGCCCATATCTCCACTCCAGGCTCAGATCTCCAACCTAGGCCCATATCTCCAATCCAGGCCCATATCTCCACACCAGGCCCATATCTCTACTGAAGGCCAGTAACTCCACCTCCAGGCCCATATCTCCACTCCAGGCCCAGATCTCCACCCCAAGCCCATATCTCCACCCCAGGCCCATATCTCTACTGAAGGCCCGTAACTCCACCTCCAGGCCCATATCTCCACCCCAGGCCCAGATCTCCACCCCAAGCCCATATCTCCACTCTAGGCCCATATCTCCTCTCCAGTCCCATATCTCCACAACCAGGCCCATATCTCCATCCTAGGCCCATATTTCCACTCTAGGCCCAGATATCCACCTCTAGGCCCATATCTCCACTCCTGGCCCAAATCTCCACTCCAGGCCCATATCTCTACTATAGGCCTATAACTCCACCTCCAGGCCCATATCTCCACTCCAGGCTCCTATCTCCCCTCCAGGTTCCTATCGGCACTCCAGGCCCAGATCTCCACTTCTAGGCCCATCACTCCATCTCTAGGCCCATATATCCACTCCAGGCCCAGATCTCCACTCCAGGCCCACAACTCCACCTCCAGGCCTATATCTCCACCTCTGGGCCCAGATCTCCAACCCCACACTCCCTTCCTCTATTCCCTTCCAGGACTCACCAACACACGCCATGCTGACGACCGTGAGCGACATGGTGCTGCCGGTGCAGACAGGCGGCCGTGCCCCAGCTCAGCTCAGCAGCGCACAGGATGTTATTTGGCGCCCTGCCCATGCAGTTTACATGTTGACCACATCATGGGAGGGTGACGTACGCAGGCTCATTCTACCTTGCATGAGGCCCAGTGGGTGCTCGCTCAAGAGCGGAACACGGCTTCCTGGAAATTGTTCTCACTAGAATTTACACCTAGCGTCCTTCACTATGACCAACTCAAAACACGTCTCAGATCCAACCTCCTGAACACGAGATGCCTAAAATCTGTGCTAACGTGAAAGACTTTTCATGTATTTTTATTGTTTTTATCTGAGATTCAAACTCTTCTTCATGTGTAATATGCAAAATATTTAATAGGTATTATTAAGGTTTTCAGAGTCATTGTGACTAATAAACCATTAGAATTTTTCATGCTTGTATTTCTAGTATTACAGCAGAACCAGTTAAAATGATTTAAATTCCCAGGGAAGGATTATGCAATTATTTACAATCTTAGAATTGTACTTTATCAGCAAAAACCACACCTGTAAATTCTGGAGTTTTGTAGTTTAATCTAAAATTTGTCTCATGACCCAAGATTCCAGAGTCCCAACTCTGGAGTTTGATCTCTCTCTGTCTCTCTGCCTCCCTCATTTTAAATTTTACAGAAATATCCAGTAACATAATGCTATAGAAAATCAAGTTTCCCCAGCACGTCGGGAAGCCGAGGTGGGCGGATCAACTGAGATGAGGGGATTGAGAGCAGCCTGGCCAACATAGTGAAACCGTGTCTCTGCTAAAAATCCAAAAATTAGCCATGCCTGGTGGCAGGCACCTGTAACGCCAGCTACTCAAGAGGCTGAGGCACGAGAATCGCTTGAACCTGGGAGGCGGAGGTTGCAGTGAGCTGAGATTGTGTCACTGCAGTCCAGCCTGGGCGACAGAGCAAGACTCCGCCTCAAGAAAAAAAAAAGCAAATAGCCTATAATAACAAATTAGAGGGCTCTGGCTACTAAATTTAAAGGGTTCTATAAGGCTACATAAAGTGTAGCATCATCAAGTGTGTGGACACAGACAGCCCCTTAGCAGAAACTGTCTAAAATACATCCATGTACACACAGTCCCTTTAGAGTTGACAAAGGCTGCCGTGTGGTTTAAGGTGGCATAGAATGTCTTCTCAATAAATAATATTAAACCAATGGGTTACACCTAGTAAAAAATAAATCTAACTCACACTATAAAAACACTTCTTAGTTTTTATCTAGTTGTACATTTTTTGATTTATATTTAAATTTGAGAAATAAAAGTCATATACGGTCATCCTTCACTATTCGTGGGTGATTGGTTTCGAGATCTCCACTCAGATACCAAAATCTGTAGATGCTCAAGCCTCTTATATGAAATGGCACAGCGCTTGCAAATAACATATGCACATCCTCCTGTATACATGAAATCATCTCTTGATTACTTATAATTCCTGATACAGCCTACACACAGCTTCATTTGTGTCCATTCAACATAGTTATGAGTTTTGGAACTCTGTGGATATTTTCTCTGAATATTTTTGATTTATACTTTGTTCAATAAAGACCTGTAAACCCCACAGATACGGAGGAGTGACCGTATATTTATAGTATGAAAGATGATGTGTTGATATGTGTCCCCATGGAGATGAGACTAACAAGGCCTATGACTCTACAAATGTTTCATCGTGGAATGACTCTGCCAGCTTTCCAGGTCTGCAGAGAGTAACAATGTCA
Organism: Homo sapiens; assembly: GCF_000001405.40. Taxonomy (NCBI): domain Eukaryota; kingdom Metazoa; phylum Chordata; class Mammalia; order Primates; family Hominidae; genus Homo; species Homo sapiens. The sequence continues at coordinate 115,327 of NT_187685.1, forward strand.
CTTGTTCATGTGATTCCCGATCCTTGGAACCTCCTATGTGCTGCATCTTTGGATGGAAATTGGAGTCCCAGAGACAAATGAGGCTCCACACTGCTTCCAGAAGCTCAGAGTCCAGAGGTGAGAACCCGGTGGAGAACAGATGGGATTATATGGACATGGTACTGATAACACCGGAAGCCTTAGGCAAGAAAAGAGTCCCATTACCTAAACCATGAGGGCAGACATGTTTATTTGAAGGAGGGAAAACTACATTGAAATTATTTTAAAAAATATATAAGTTTTACTGCTGACAGAAGGCTGAAAGCTAGTCTGAGGGGAGGTGGAACAGCATGAGGGAAGGTGGAACAGCACGTGTCTAAGTGCCGTGTTAAGAGGGAGCCTCTTGTATGTTTGGAATTGTGAGTTCCTCAGTGTGATTGCAGCCTCAAGTAGACTAGGAAGTAAGCCAGTTAGGTTGGAGAGGTGGGCAGGGGTCAAGTGAAATGGAGAATTGTGGGCTAAGCAAAGGAGTGTGTTTTCTCTCCAGCAGGCAGTGGGGACCTTAGACATTTGTAAGCAAGGGAGAGGCACGTTCAGATTTGTGGTGTGAGGAAGAGCGATGCCCTAAGATGCAGACTCACGCCTTCAGATTCCAGCTGCTGGTACATTGGAGCTGGCAACCCAGTTTTGAGACAGGGCTGTTGTCTCCCTAGAAGATCCCCTCAAGGCCTGACTGTGGTGCTCATGGGCAGGAGACAACTTTGGATCAGGGCTCAGCATTTGGAAGTTCCGTGTACACGATGATATCTGTTGGGGGTGTCTTGGGCCTCTGAGAAGGGCGAGTGATTTTTCTCTGTGTGAAAACGCAGTGATTCAACTGTGCATATGTCACCTCCTGAGGGTCTTGTTCATCAGAGTCCTGGAGAGAGGGAAATGCTGAGTGAGGGAGGGTGCTCACATTTTCCAGGACTCTTTGGGAATAACACTAGCCACGAGGCTGGGCCGAGGAGCACCTACCTCCCTGTTCACTGTTCTGTTCCCTGCAGGCTCTTGGTCCATTACAACAGCATCTGTAGAAGACGGAAGTCAACAAAACAGCTCAGAGGGCACTTCTGGGCCCTCATTTCATAAGCAGATACCAACATACAGGGGGAGACCATAGGAGCCTGAGGTCCCTCAGTTGCCAACAGCAGACTCAGACATTCTATCTCTCTGAGCTCAAGGACCCATCCCATGAATAGCTCTGAGTTCCCATCCCATTGATTCTGTCTCCCACTTTCTGCCTGTCATGGAACCTTCTCCTGGATGTGAGTGGCTGCAGGGGACATGAGGATACAGTTCAGAATCAGGCAATGGTCTGTGAGCTGAAGGCAGGGACAGGGAGTCTGGTGCTCTCTCTAGAAAGTCCTCCCTCTGTGGCTGCTGCCTTGGGCCAGGGACCATCCTGTCTGTGAGGAACACACACCTGAGTGCTCCCATCCTGCTTCCCCACATGGCCCTGAGCTCTCTGGCCTCTGCTTCGTGAGACTTACTTTTTTTGTTGCAGCACCAGCGATGAAGGAGAAAGAAGAGGAGGAGGATGAAGAGGATGATGACCACTGAGGTCCCAATCAGAACATGCAGGTGTCTGGGGTTACCTGGAAGAAGAGGAGACACCAATAAGAAGCTAATCATAGCAGTTCCTCTTTATGAATTGTCTCACATTTCTTGATTGACAGGTAACCACATACAACACCCCTTTAGGACAAGCACCCAGATGGAGGGAGACCCAGCTTTCTCCTGCTTTCTCAGTTATAGCTCTCATAGTAACCATAGAACGTGTTGAGGATACAACTACTTTAGTTGAGATGTTTGACCCCTTCAAACCTCACATTGAAATTTCACCCCCACTGTGGGAGGTTGGGCCTCTTGAGAGGTGTTTGGGTCATGGAGGTGGATCCATCATGAACAGACCAATGCTGTCCCAAGGAGACGGGGTTAGCAAGTTCCCCTTCTATTAGTTCCTGGAGAGCTGGTTGTTCAAAAGAGCTTGGAAGCTCCATCGCTCCCCCTCCCCCTTGCTCCCTCTCTTGCCGTGTGATCTCTGTGGTCTCTGCACAGACAGACCCTCCTTCCCTTCTGCCAGAGTGGGAGCAGCCTGAGGCCGTCACGAGAAATAGATGCTGGTGCCACGCTTCCAGTACAGCCTGCAGAACTGTGAGGCAAACCAATCTCTTTTCTCTAGAAGTTACCCAGGCTCAAGTGTTCCTTTAGAGCAACAAAAATGGACTAAGACAGCAACGTCCTGAGATCAGGAGGAACGTCTCAGAACAGCCTGGGCTGTCTTCCTGTTCTTCCTGGAGGAGGACGTCATGCAGTGCTTTAGCTGAGTGCTTCCTGTGGCTCCACAGTACAAAACCCAGGCTGGGCTGCTCTCTGGCTTCCCCCAGCTACACTGCAAATGGGGTGACTCCATATGTCCCGAGTAGCTTTTCTGAGCCTTGAGGGACTGGCTCACATTGAAATGTAGGTTTCTGTTGTCACTCGCTGCTTATCTGTTAGTAATGAACCTGCCTGTGTAATGTATTCTCTGTGTGTTCTGTCTCCCTGGAGTGACGGTGAGTGATAGGAATTGGCATAAGCCCAGGTGCAGTCCAGGAGGTATTTAGAGTCTTCTCTGGGAAGACTGCACTGGGATTGATACACAGCGAATGTGCTTTAGGATTTCTACATCCACAGCATTCTTGAATCAAACAACTTGCATTCTCCAAGAAAAGGAAACAAAAGTGAAATCAAGATAAAAAAAGCTAAGTAGAATTCTCTTATGTCAAATGGCCAGGAAATAGTGTTGAAGCCCGTGTGAAACGTGCTACTCTTTGTGATCTCGGGAGACACATGTTAGGCTGCTGTTCTACCCGAGAGGCTGGGGGAAGGACCACCCCCTCGGCCATCTATTGCTTCAATACCACCTGTCCTCCTGTGAATTAGTAGGAAAGGGGAGCAGGAGCTAGTGCTGGCACTGATCTCTGATTCCAAGATCTGGACTCACTCCAAGGAGTATCAATGTTTACCTCCCCATAGCCTATCTGAATCTCCACAGGTGATTGGAAGTAGGGGTGAGGTGGGGGATTTGGGTGAGTGGGCAAGTTTTTTGTTGCGATGAACAGAGCACTTTCTCTATTCCACGATCTGTGCTGGAGGATTCTGAGGGCTTTCACATTTTCTATGTGATCTCATTCTCACAGAAAGCCAAATAGGGAAGAGGTTTTAAGCTCATTGCCTAATGGATAAGATAAAGGATCAAAGAAGTAATTATAGAGAAATAGAAAAACGATGATTGGAATTCAGGTGCCTTTGTCATTCGTGTGTGTTTTATTATATTTATGTATTTCTTATTTTTATTTTTTGAGATAGAGTCTCCTTGTGTCCCCCAGGCTGGAGTGCAGTGATGCAATCTCCACTCACTGCAACCTCCACCTACTGGGTTGAAGTCATTCTCCTGCTTCATCCTCCAGAATAGGAGCTGGGATTACAGGGATGCACCATCGTGCTCGGCTAATTTTTGTATTTTTAGTAGAGATAGGGTTTCACCACGTTGGCCAGGCTGGTCTGGAACTCCTGACTTCATGGAATCCACCCACCTTGGCCTCCTGCAGTGCTAGGTTACAGGCGTGAGCCACTGTTCACAGACTTGTATATTATGCTATAATAAGTCTCTTCATTTCCACCACCACTCATATATCTGTCACTCCTTTGCCAGGTATTGATTTATGTGTAGGATGAATAAATCTCAGAAAGAAATTAATTAAGCGAGGATTAAACAAGTAGGAAAATCAAACCCAGTAAGCGTTTCCAGTCAATGATTCTACCTCACAAACATATCTTATATCCATCTACTTCATTCATTTAGTGTCTAAATCAGCACCACATTTCACCAGTGGGGTGGCAATTGCCTTTTCCACGGTCTCCTAGATTCCAGTTATGCAACTGAGCCTCCCTTATTTTCATGTCAGTCATATTAATCATGTAGGGATTCCTGGTTACCCCGAGGTGAATCCAATGGCTGTGAGTGTCAAACACACACTCCTTGTTGCTCCTTAGTTTCCTGTGTACCCAGTGTGCTCTCCGTCTCTCTACAGTCGTCTTGTCATTCTCCCCACATCATTCCCAGCATTTGAGGCAGAGCCTCTTCCTTCCACATCAGATTGTTTTCACCTTTGTGCCTTCACGGCTGACAGCTGTGTGTGCAAAATCCTTCCGCCAATCTTTCAGGGGTTCAATCCGTGTTTTTCATTAATGTCACAAATATCTGAATAGTGAGACCTTCTTTGTCACCTGAAATCATACACTCAGCATTATCTATTATTGATTTTGAATTCTGGCTGGGCACAGTGGCTCACGCCTGTAGTCCCATTACTTTGGCATGCTGAGACGGTCGGATCACTTGAGGTTGGGAGTTTCAGACAAGCTTGGCCAACGTGGTGAAACATCCTCTCTACAAAAAATATACAAAAAGAATTAGCCGGGCACGGTGGCAGTTGCCTGTAATCCCAGCTACTCGAGAGGCGGAGGCAGGAGAATCACTTGAATCCAGGAGACGCAGGTTGCAGTGAGCCAAGATCGTGACACTGCACTGTAGCCTGGAAGACAGAGGGCGACTCTGTCTCAATAAACAAAAGAACAAACAAAAAATAGATTTCATGCACAGATGCTTCCCAATGGATCATTCATTTATAGATCCACTTGTGCATTCATTTTCTGCCCTCCCATTTAACCATCTGCAATATCAGTGTCCCAAGGGCAGAAGCCAAATGCATCTTGTTCACCGTTTGTGGAAGGCAGGAGAATGCTGTCCCACCCCAAAATGTCCCTGTCCTAGCCTCCATAGCTTGTGAATATGTTATTTTACATGGAAAGGAGGAATGAAGATTGTAGATGGAATTGCGGTTGCTAATCAGCTGAACTTAAAACAAGGGTATCCTGGATGATTTCCAGGAGATTATGAGGGATTTTCATCTTGGTGAACCCAATAGAATCCCCAAGTTTTCAAAAGATAAGGAAGAAGGGAGAGCAGCATTCAGAGAAAGAGGTGTGGTAAGGAAGAAGGCACTGAGTGATGCCATGTGAGATGTGACCAGTCTTTGTGGGCTTTGAGGAAGGAGGAAGGGGAACAGGAGCCAAGGAACTGGGAGCCTTTAGAAGCTGGGATAAGTGAGAAGCAGATTCTTGCCTGGAATCCTCAGAGGGAAGGCAGCCTTGCTGTCACCTTGATTTTAGCCCAGTAAGATGCACTTCCTACTTTGAGCTACAGCACTGTAAGATAATTAAAAAACCGTTTTGTTTTCACCCACGAATCTTGTGGAAATTTGTTATGGCAACAATAGGAAAAGGTTCCGCACTGCACAGCCTGAGCATGGGGCCGTGGCTGAATGAGTCAGTGAGTCGAAGTGTGCGTGCATGAGCTCCGTTCTCTGTTACGGCAAGGCTGTTGCTCTGCTGAGTCAGCCAGGGTTGCTTCATGACCAACAGTAATTCATTCCTTGGCAAGTGGAACTTCTCTAAAACACCTCGCCCTCATCAGATGTTCCCTTCCCTTCCCTCTCTCAAGCCCCCAGGAATTTATCCTCCAGTTAGGAATGCAGGCAGAACAAACATTGCATTTTTCCTGAGAAGGATGTCAGATTGGCAATCATTCTTCTAGCTTGTAGGAGGTCTCAGCTCCATAAAATGAGAGATTAAGAGATTTCACTGAGCCCTAGGTTGGGCCCAGATCCCTTTCGCTGTTGGAGTATCTGGAGTTCGGAGATGGTAGAAGACAGGCGTACAATGTCAGAGCTGCGAGATGCTGAGTCAATGCCTGCATCGAAGGTTTCTACCTCCCCAGGTTTCCAAAAGCGGATATAAGAGGGTTCTGTACTCACCGGTTTCGGAGCTTGGTTCAGTGGGTGAAGGCCAACTATTTGAAGGGTTTCCTAGAACACGAGACAGGAGAGAGGTGAGGAAATGAGGGTGTCTGTCCTCTACTCAATGGAAATCTTTGAGGTTGGTTCATGGCCAACACTCTGTTATCTAATATTGGGCCCTGGGAGTCCTGGGATCCTTTTTTCCGTAATTTTTGTATGTGACGCCCACTGTCTTGAGACTTCAAGGTATAAAGAGAAAACAGGAGCATCACACTACCTGATCTCAAAATATGTTACAGAGCTGTAGTAAGCAAAACAGCATCACATTGGCATAAAGAAAGGCACGTAGAACAATGGAGCAGAATGAAGAACACAGATATAATCCATGCATTTACCTCCAATGTTTTTTTCTTTTTTCTTTTGAGATGGAGTCTCGCTCTGTCACCCAGGCTGGAGTGCAGAGGTGCAATCTCGGTTCACTGCCACCACAGCCTCCTGGGTTCAATCAATTCTCTGGCCTCAAACTCCTGAGTAGTGGTATTACAGGTGCTGACCACCATGCTCAGCTAATTTTTATATTTTTAGTGGAGACAATGTTTCATCACGTCGGCCAGACTAATCTTGAACTCCTGGCCTCAGGTGATCCACCCGCCTTGGGCTCCCAAAGTGCTGAAATTGCAGGTGTCAGCCACCATGCCCAGCCCATCCAATGGACTTTGACAAAGGTGCCAAGAACTCACAATCAGGAAAGGACAGTCTTTTCAATAAACAGTGCAGGGAAACCTGGACATCTACATGCAGAGGAATGAAACTGCACCTCTACCTGTCACTATACACAAAACTCAAATGAAAATGGATTAAAGATGTGAGTCTAAGGCCTGAACCTATGAAACACGTAGAAGAAAATATTGGGGAAATGCTCCAGGACATTTGTCTGAAGGAAGACATTTTGTTTTAAACCTTCAAAACACAAGTAATCGAAGCAAAAATAGACCATTGGGATTACCTCAAACTAAGCAACTTCTGCACCGCTAAAAATAAACCAACAAAGTGAAGAGACAACCCACAGATTGGGAGCAAATATGTGCAAACTATGCATCTGAGATGGGATTAATAACTAGAAATATAAGAAGCTCAAACAACTCAATAAAACAAACGATTTAATTGAAAAAGGAGCAAAACACATGAAATTTCCCCACATACTAAAAAGTGCTCAGTTTCACTCATCATCAGAGAAACACAAATTAAAATCAAAGTGAGTTTTCATCTCACCCCATTAAAATGGATTTTAGGCCGGGCGTGGTGGCTCACGTCTGTCATCCTAGACCTTTGAGAGCCTGAGGTGGGTGAACCTCATAAGGTCGGGAGTTTGAGACCAGTCTGACCCACATGAAGAAACACTGTCTCTACTAAAAATACAAAATTTAGTTGGGCGTGGTGGCGTGTGCCTGTAATTCCAGCTACTCGGGAGGCTGAGGCAGGAGAATCGCTTGAACCTGGGAGGTGGAGGTTGTGGTGAGCCGAGATCGCACCACTGCACTCCAGCCTGGGTGACAAGAGCGAAACTCCATCTCAAAATAAAATGAAATAAAATAAAATGGCTTTTAGCTGCAAGACAGGCAAAGGAAATCCTGCCAAAGTGGTAGAGAAAGGAGAACCCTAATACCCTGTTGGTAGGAGTGTAAATTAGTACAGCCTTTACGGAGAAAAGTGTGGAAGTCCTTTAAAGAACTAAAAAGAGGTTGGGTGAGGTGGATCATGCCTGTAATCCCGGCACTTTGGGAGACCGAGGCGGGCACCTCAGTTGAGGTCATGAGTTTGAGAGCAGCCCAGCCAACATGGGGAAACCCCATCTATACTAAAAAAAACAAAAAGTAGCCAGGCATGGTGGCGTGCACCTGTAATCCCAGCTACTAGGGAGGCTGAGGCAGGAAAATCATTTGAACCCAGGAGGCGGAGGTTGCAATGAGCCAAGATGACTTCACTTGTACTCCAGCCTGGGCACAGAGGGAAACTGTCTCAAAAACAAAAACAAAACAACAAACGAATAACTAAAAAGAGAACTTTCATAGTATCCAGCAATTTCACTACTGGGTTTATATCCAAAGGAAAGTAAATCAATATATCGAAGTGATATCTGCACTCGTATGATTGGTGCAGCACTGTTCACAGTAGCCAAGATGTGGAGTCAACCTACCTGCCCATCAGTGGATGAATGGATAGAGAGAATGTAGTACATACGCACAGTGGAGACTACTCATCCATAGAAAGAATAACATCCTGATATTTGCAGCCACATGGATGGAACTGGAAGTCATTACAAAGATTCCCATTTCTCACCCATATACAGAGCTAAAAGGTGGATCTCATGAAGGTAGAGAGTAGAATGGTGGCTTCCAGAGGCCAGGAATAAAAGGGTGGAGGGTAAAAAAAAAAAAAAAAAATATATATATATATATATATATATATATATATATGTTTATATATGTGTGTGTGTGTGTATATATATATATATATATATATATAAATGTATTTATGACCACTAGACTTTACACTTAAAAATGGTAAATGTGGCTGGGCGTGGTGGCTCATGCCTGTAATCCCAGCACTTTGGGAGGCAGATGCGGGTGGATCACGTGGTCAGGAGTTGGAGACCAGCTCGACCAACATGGTGAAACCCCCTCTCTACTAAAAATACAAAAAGTAGCCTGGCGTGGTGGTGCGCGCCTGTAGCACCAGCTACTCAGGTGGCTGAAGCAGGAGAATCACTTGAACCCAGGAGGCGGAAGTTGCAGTGAGCTGAGATTGTGCCACTGCACTCCAGCATAGGGGACAGAGCTAGACTCTGCCTCAAAAAAAAAAAAAATGTTAAAGGTGGTAAGCTATATAGGTATATTTATCCTCAATAAATATTTCTTCAAACAAAAGTAAAGGGTGTAGGGGTTGCTGGTGATGACATCCCTGTGTGGGTGAGAGGCCAGGATGGGCTTCTGGGAAATGGGTAATGTTGAGGGGCTGAGGGAACCTCTGATCTTCCCAAACTGAGCCCAGTCTCTCTCCTCTGGGTCTCTCCTGACCGTTTTCTCCATCTGCCTGTGTGCCTGGAGCCCTGGCCGCGGGCCTTCATGCAGGCCGTGTAGGAGGGTTTGGAGGTGCCCTGTCTGCCATCCTGTGCCCTGATCCCTCCCTCACACCCAAGCTTCGTCTTCTCTCTGCATCTGTCCATGCTTCTCTCCATCATCAGCAGGAAGCTCCTCAGCTAAGGCTCTAGGATCATAGGACATGAGACAGATATGGGGTTTCCTCACCTGTGACAGAAACAAGCAGTGGGTCACTCGAGTTTGACCACTCGTATGGAGAGTCACGGAAAGAGCCGAAGCATCTGTAGGTTCCTCCGTGGGTGGCAGGGCCCAGAGGAAAGTCGGCCTGGAATGTTCCGTTGACCTTGGGCCCTGCAGAGAACCTACGTTCATGGGCCTCCCCCTCCCTGGATAGATGGTACATGTCATAGGAGCTCCGGGAGCTGCAGGACAAGGTCACGCTCTCTCCTGCCAGAACCGTGGGGCCCGGCTGGGCTGAGAGAGAAGGTTTCTCATATAGACCTGGAGGAGAAGAGGCATTTTCCTTACGGAGGATCTTCCTTGTCACAGCTCCCTTCACCTGAGCTGAGAACTCACTCCCCTGCTCTATGACCTAATGCTCTCTCTCTCTCTCTCTCTCACCCTCCACCCCATCTCTCTTCATGTCTATTTCCTTCTTCCACCTTCTCTGTCTCTCTAGGTCTCTGACCTCGCTTCCCCACCTCTAGATATGTTTTCCCTTTTTGGATTCTTTTATTCTCTCTGACTCTCCTTGGATTGGTTGACTTGATGTTACTTTTTTAAATTCTAAGTTTCTCACGTTGTGTCCTGTTCATAACTTTCTGCATATTTCTATCTATTATCTGTCGATCTATCTATTTATCTATTCGGTGCCTATCTACAAATTCTCTACCTGTCATCTATATCTATATATCATCTATGTATCTATCACTTGTCTATCTATCCATCAATCATCTGTTATTTATATGTATGTATCATCTCTCTCTCTATGATTTCTGTCTGCCTCTCTATCTGTACGTATTATCTGTCTTCATCATCATCATCTCTATGTATTATCTATTAATGAATCAATCAATCATCATCTATGTATCTTTAACCTATTATCTATCATCTACCTATTTATCATCTATCTATATCTATCCATCTATCATCTGTCTTGCTCTGCCTCTCGGTCTCTCTAGTTCTCTTTGGAATCTCTGCAATTCATCCCCACATCTCCATGTTTCTATGTCCTTGTGCCTCTCTCTCAGGACTCTAATTTTAGTGCTTTTCTCTGCTCCCTGCCATCATTCTCACCACTCCTCTGCCCTCTTTTCTCTCTCTTTATGTGTCTGTGAGTCTCTCAATCTCCTTCCTCTGGCTCATTCTCTGTGTGTTTATGTCTTTGCTTTTTGGTGTTCCTGATTTTTCTCTGTGCCTCTCAGTGATCCTTTCATATGTGGGGTTATTTGGAATGTGAGCCACAGAATCCAGTCTGGAGACCACAAGTTCACACAGCATACAGGGGTTGGTGTTCTGGGGCCATGATATCCTGGGACGATTACTCTCCATTACATGGAAGGCAGAGGTGTCAGAATAAACATGGCCTGTAGGTGCCACAAGGCCTGAGGCCACAGGGCCCAACTCAGGTCATAAATATGGGTGTCCTTGGGTTCTCCTGGTAGAGAACACTTTGTGGAGGTAAAACAGAAATGAAACTTCTAACCTGTGCCAGGTCTGTGAGCAAAGTCAGCATGGAGGGACACCTCTCTCTGGGACATGTCTGTCTGTCTGTCTCTTTTAACTCTTTCTGTCTTTTCTAACTCCCTGTATGGCCCCTGTGTCTGTCCTCTGTTATGACACCTGGTCTGTACTTGTGTCTCCTGTTTCTCTGTCTCTGTTGGTACAAACCTCAGCAAGTCAGTCTCTCTCCATAAGAATACCAAGCTCATCTTCCTTACAACTACCTGGGGGTTCCAAGTCGTGGATCATTCACTCTGCATCCCAATGACAATGAGAATGTCCGGACACTCTCACCTGTGATGACGATGTCCAGAGGGTCACTGGGAGCTGACAACTGATAGGGGGAGTGAGTAACAGAACCGTAGCATCTGTAGGTCCCTGCAAGGTCTTGCATCATGGGACCGATGGAGAAGTTGGCCTTGGAGACCCCATCATGGTGCTCTCCAATGAGGTGCAAAGTGTCCTTAAACTTCCCTTCTCTGTGCAGAAGGAAGTGCTGAAACCTGACATCTGACCAACATTGCAGGATGACTGTCTCTTCTGATTTCACCAGGGGACCTGGGTGGGCCAGGAGGGAAGGTTTTCTGTGGACTCCTAGGAAGAGAGGTTGTGAGTTTAGAAGGTGTCTCTCTTTATCATCCCATCCATGGCACCTAGAATGAGTGAGGCTTCCCCTTGCTGGTGTCTGTCTCTCTCCTTCCTCTCTGTGTCTTCATGTTCTTTTCTGTGCCCTTAACTCCTGGTGCAGGTCCTTCCATCTGTCTCCCTCCCTCTTCTCTGTCCCTCTGTCTCTAGTAGCCTCTGATTCCCTTCCCACTGGGCTGAGCCTCATCTCTTGGGGTGTTGTATCTATTTCACACTAATGTATTTCCTGCTGTTTATGTGGGGGTGAAAGAGGAACCAGGATAGGCTGCACATCCAGGCTCTTATCAGCCTGGTTCAATCTCTTTTGGATGAATTGCAATCCTTGGCAGAAGGTATGAACTGATGAATAAGGCAGGCACCAGTGTCCACACACCCTGTTCCTGGTGGGGACTGGGAGCCACTCTTGCCATGCCTGTGCCTTCTCCATGGTGCCAGCTTCCATAGGCTGGCTCCTGGTGCTGGTTGGAGGAGTATCAACCCCTCCCTATGTGGATGGAGCCTGGTGGTGGCATCATCATCCCACCCTTGCTGATCTCAGGGTAGCCAACCTTCTCCTTGTTTGGTTTCTTTAATTAATTAATTAATTATGGAGACAGAGTCTCACTCCTTCACCCAGGCTGGAGTGAAGTGGTGTGGTCTAGGCTCACTGCAACCTCTGTCTCCTGGGTTCAAGTGATTCTCCTGCCCTCAGCCTCCTGAGTCGCTAGGATTACATGCACCTGCCACCATGCCTGGCTTTCCTTGGGTTGTTTCTTAACTTGTCCTTGACCTGGGTTCCAGTGTTGGTTTCCTGTTGCTGCTGTAGAAAATTATCAGAAGCATGGCAGCAGGAGAGACCACACTGACACCTTCCAGTACTGGAGACAGAAATTGGACCCTATTTTTCCTGGGCTAAAATCAAGGCATCTGCAGGGCTTTGTTCCCTCTGGAGACTCTGGAGAATCAGTTCCTTGACTTTTCCAGCCTCTATAGGCCACCTGCATTCATGGATCTTGGCCTTCCTCCACCTTCAAAGCTGGTGAAGACTTCCACTGGACTGCTCTAATCCCCACTCCCCTCTTCCTCCTCCTTTCATGTGCACCCTTGTGATTACACTGAGCCCAGTGGGACAGTCCAGGCTGTCTCCCCATGAGCTCCATCTTCCCCTTCAGTCCCTTCCCCTATAACATAAATAGTCACAGACTCCAGGGATTAGAATGTAGTCATCACTGGGGACAATTATTCTTCCCACCACAGCACCCATTTCCCTGTATTCAATCCCCCTTTACCACAAATACAGTCAGGGCCTGCGTGATGGGACCCTCAAGGACATGCCCAACAGAAGCTCTGGGATTCAGGAGGTGGGACAAGGAGAATCCAAGACAGGAGCCCTCTGACCTATGACCACGATCACCAGGGGGTTGCTGGGTGCTGACCACCCACTGGGGGAGTGTGTGTGTGAACCCCGACATCTGTATGTCCCTGTGTGTGCGGGGGTCACAGGGCCCATGAAAAGGCTGTTCCAGAATATTCTGTTGTAGAGCTCAGGGACAGGCACCCCACCTTCCTTTTACAGACTGAAGTTGTTAAACCCAAGATAAGAGTGACACCGAAGAATGACATGTCCTAGAGGCACCACAAGGCTGGGCCAGGCAGACAGCAAGGGCTTGTCCTGACCACCTTGGGGAGAAGGAGGCGCCGCCTTAGAGAGGAGGATGTGGAACTGCCCTTCCCTCCCTGTGCTCAGAAGATTCTCCTCGCTTTCCACGTTTCTATGGCTACTATCACACCTTGGTGCCCAGGGCTGAAGGAAGGACCCATCCCGCAAAGACATGGTGTCTCCCTACAACAAAAGCCTCAGCTGAGAACTTTGAGCAAGTGCTGAGTAAAGAGACTCCTACTAGATTTTAATACTGTAAGATTACTCACATAAAACAACACAGGGTAGACATGAGGTGGAGGGCATGTCCTTTGTGAATGGATATCAGCGGATGCCTGAACGAAAATAAACAACTGAGCCCCCATCAGAGGATTTGGAATGTCAGGGCCATGGCTGTGGTTTCCCACCTCTTCTGGTAGAATGACAGCAGCCACACTGCAGCCCCTACCATCATGGAAACGCTGAAGTGTGTGAGTAACACCTTTGTCCTCAGAGGATCTGCTGTTCCTACCACTTCCCAACCACACACCCCAGCTTTGAGCACCCCAGTCTAACCCTGGTCCCCACAGAACTTGACTCTGCCAAGGGGTTGAGAGGCCAGGGAGGCGAGGTCAGAAATGTGGGCTGAGCACCCCAGGGTCCTCTCTTCCTAGTTTATGAGAGACTCCCCGACAGGACTTCCCTCCTGTTTCAGGAAAATCCTCTTATGTGGGGAGATGACACCCGAAGGTTTGGAGAAGGACTCACCCTCATGTGGCCAGGCCCCCTGCAGCAAGAAGAACCCTGGAAAGAAAGATCATGATGGACCATCCATCTGCAGGCAAACCAGGCCTCCCTTGCTGCCCCCACTGGGCTGTGAGTCTTGGCAGCCAGGCCCTTCCTGGGCTGAAGTTAAACTCACCCTCAGTGCCTACCTGCACCCAAGAACAGGGCTGTCGGCTGTGCAGAGACCCAGTTTCCAGGCCCATATCCCCACCCCAAGCCCATATCTCCACTCCAGGCTGATATTTCCACCCTAGGCCCATATCGCCAATCCAGGCTCAGATCTCCACCCTAGGCCCCTATCTCCAATCCAGTCCCATATCTCCGCCCCAGGCCCAGATCTCCACCCTAAGCCCATATCTCCACTCCAGGCCCATATCACCTCTCCAGTCCCATATCTCCACACCCAGGCCCATATCTCCTTCCTAGGCCCATATCTCCACTCCAGGCCCAGATATCCATCTCTAGGCCCATAACTCCACTCCTGGCCCATATCTCCACTCCAGGCCCATATCTCTACTGCAGGCCCGTATCTCCACCTCCAGACCCATATCTCCACTCCAGGCCCATATCTCCACCTCCAGGCCCATATCTCCACCTCCAGGCCCATATCTCCACTCCAGGCCCATATCTCCACTCCAGGCCCCTATCTCTACTGCAGGCCCATATCTCCATCTCCAGGCCCATATCTCCATCTCCAGGCCCATGTCTCCACTACAAGCCCATATCTCTACTGCAGGCCCATATCTCAACCTCCAGGCCCATATCTCCACTCCAGGCCCAGATCTCCACTCCAGGCCCAGATCTCCACTTCTAGGCCCATCACTCCATCTCTAGGCCCATAACTCCACTTCCAGGCCTATATCTCCAACTCTGGGCCCCGATCTCCATCCCCGCACTCCCTCCCTCGATGCCCTTCCAGGACTCACCAACACACACCATGCTGACGACCATGAGCGACATGGTGCTGTCTGTGCAGACAGGCGGCCGCGCCCCAGCTCAGCTCAGCAGCGCACAGGATGTTATTTGGCGCCCTGCCCATGCAGTTTACATGTTGACCACATCATGGGAGGGTGACGTACGCAGGCTCTTTCTACCTTGCATGAGGCCCAGTGGGTGCTCGCTCAAGAGCGGAACATGGCTTCCTGGAAATTGTTCTCACTAGAATTGACACCTTGCGTCCTTCACTACGACCAGACTCAAAAGACGTCTCAGATCCAACCTCTCATACACGAGATGATTGAATTCTGTGCTTACATTAAAGATTTTTGATGTATTTTTGTTTTTATCTGAGATTCAAACTCTTCTTCATATGTAATGTGCAAAATGTCTAACAGGTATTATTAACATTATCAGAGTAATTGTGACAAGAAGCCATTCTAATTTTCCTGCTTGAGTTTCTACTACTAAACCAGAGGCATCAGAATAGCTTGAACCTGGGAGACGGAGGTTGCAGTGAGCTGAGCTCAAGCCACTGAACTCCAGCTTGGGTGACAGAGGAAGAGTCTGTCTCAAGAAAAAAAAAAAAAGCAAACTAAATAACCTATAATAACAAATCAGAGGACTCAGGTTACCAAATTTTAAGGGGTTCTATAAGTTTATATAAAATGCAGCATCCTCATGAGAGGGGATACAGAGAACCACTGGACAGAAAACTGTGTCTAAAATACATCTGTGGATACACAGTCCCTTTATAGTTGACAAAGGCTGCCATGTAGTTTAAGGTGGAATAGAATATTTTCTCAACAAATAACACAGGACCATAGGGTTACACGTAGGAAAAAATAAATCTAAACTTATCCTCACACTATAAAAACACTTCTTATTTTTTATCTTGTTGTTGTAAATTTTTTATGCTTTATTTTTAAGATTGACAAATAAAAATTATATACCATGGTCCTTCACTATACCTGGGTGATTGGTTCCAGGATCCCCATTCAGATACCAAAATCTGCAGATGCTCAAGCCCCTTGCATGAAATGGCATAGTGAAGCTGGGCACCGTGGCTCACGCCTGTAATCCCAGCACTTTGGGAGGCTGAGCTGGGTAGATCACAAGGTCAGGAGTTCAAGACCAGCTGGTCCAACATTCTGAAACCCCATCTCTACTAAAAATATACACACAAAAAAATTTATCTGTGCAGGGTGGCACGTGCCTGTAATCCTAGGGGAGGCTACTGGGGAGGCTGAGGGAAGAGAATCGCTTGAACCTGGAAGGCGGAGGTTGCAGTGAGTTGAGATCACGCCACTGCACTCCAGCCTGGGTGAGAGAGTGAGACTGTCTCAAAAAAAAAAAAAATAGCATAGCAATTGCATAGAACCCATGCACATCCTCCTGTATACATGAAATCATCTCTTGATTACTTATAATTCCTGACACAGCCTACACGCCACTCAATTTGTGTCGATTCAACATAGTTTTTTGCTTTTTGAAACTTCGGGGATTTTTTTTCTCAAAATATTTTTGATTTATTGCTGATTCAATAAACATGTGTAAACCCCAGAGATATGGAGGAGTGACTGTCTATTTATAGTAGTATGAAAGATGATGTGTTGATACGTGTCCCTGTGGAGATGAGACTAACAAGGCCTATGACTCTACAAATGTTTCATCGTGGAATGACTCTGCCAGCTTTCCAGATCTGCAGAGAGTAAGAATATCACTTGTTCATCTGATTCACCATCCTTGGAACCTCCTATGTGCTGCATCTTTGGATGGAAATTGGAGTCTCAGAGACAATTCAGGCTCCACCCTGCTTCCAGAAGCTCAGAGTCCAGGGGTGAGAACCCAGCGGAGAACAGATGGGGTTATGTGGACGTGGTAATGATAACACCGGAAGCCTTAGGCAAGAAAAGAGTCCCATTGACGAAACCATGAGGGCAGACATGTTTACTTGAAGAAGAGAAAACTACATTGAAATTATAAAAAAAATTTATAAGTTTTACTGCTGACAGAAGGCTGAAAGATACTCTGAGGAAAGGTGGAATAGCACGTATCTAAGTGCCGTGTTAAGAGGGAGCCTCTTATATGTTTGGAATTGTGAGTTCCTCAGTGTGATCGCAGCCTCAAGTAGACTAGGAAGTAAGCCAGTTAGGTTGGAGAGGTGGGCAGGGGTCAAGTGAAATGGAGAATTGTGGGCTAAGCAAGTGTGTTTTCTCTCCAGCAGGCAGTGGGGACCTTAGACATTTGTAAGCAAGAGAGAGGCATGTTCAGATTCGTGGTGTGAGGAAGAGCGATGCCCTAAGATGCAGACTCACGCCTTCAGAGTCCAGCTGCTGGTACATGGGAGCTGGCAACCCGGTTTTGAGACAGGGCTATTGTCTCCCTAGAAGATCCCATCAAGGCCTGACTGTGGTGCTAGTGGACAGAAGACAACTTTGGATCTGCGCTCAGCATTTGGAAGTTCCGTGTTACACGCTGGTATCTGTTGGGGGTGTCTTGGGCCTCTGAGAAGGGCGAGTGATTTTTCTCTGTGTGAAAACGCAGTGATTCAACTGTGCGTATGTCACCTCCTGAGGGTCTTGTTCATCAGAGTCCTGGAGGGAGGGAAATGCTGAGTGAGGGAGGGTGCTCACATTTTCCAGGACTCTTTGGGAATAAGACTAGCCACGAGGCTGGGCGGAGGAGCACCTACCTCCCTGTTCACTGTTCTGTTCCCTGCAGGCTCTTGGTCCATTACAACAGCATCTGTAGAAGACGGAAGTCGTCAAAACAGCTCGGAGGGCACTTCTGGGTCCTCATTTCATAAGCAGATACCAACATACAGGGGGAGGCCATAGGTGCCTGAGGTCCCTCAGTTGCCAACAGCAGACTCAGACATTCTATCTCTCTGAGCTCAAGGATCCATCCCATGTATAGCTCTGAGTTCCCATCCTATTGATTCTGTGTCCCACTTTCTGCCTGTCATGGAACCTTCTCCTGGATGTGAGTGGCTGCAGGGGATGTGAGGATACGGTTCAGAATCAGGCAATGGTCTGTGAGCTGAAGGCAGAGGCAGGGAGTCTGGTGCTCTCTCTAGAAAGTCCTGCCTCTGTGGCTCCTGCCTTGGGCCAGGGACCATCCTGCCTGTGAGGAACACACACCTGAGTGCTCCCATCCTGCTTCCCCACATGGCCCTGAGCTCTCTGGCTTCTGCTTCGTGAGACTTACTCTTTTTGTTGGCACACCAGCGATGAAGGAGAAAGAAGAGGAGGATAGCAAAGGGGATGATGACCACTGAGGTCCCAATCAGAACGTGCAGGTGTCTGGAGTTACCTGGAGGAAGACAAGACACCAATAAGAAGCTAATCATAGCAGTTCCTCTATATGAATTGTCTCACATTTCTTGATTGACAGGTAACCACATACAACGTCTCTTTAGGACAAGCACCCAGATGGCGGGAGACCTAGCTTCCTCCTGCTTTCTCAGTTGTAGTAACCATAGAACGTGCTGAGGATACAACTGCTTTAGTTTAGATGTTTGACCCCTTCAAACCTCACATTGAAATGTAACCCCCAGGGTGGGAGGTTGGGCCTCTTGGGAGTTGTTTGGGTCATGGAGGTGGATCCATCATGAACAGATCAATGCTGTTCCAAGGAGACGGGGTTAGCAAGTTCCCCCTCTATTAGTTCCTGGAGAACTGGTTGTTAAAAGAGCTTGGAAGCTCCATCGCTCCCCCTCCCCCTTGGTCCCTCTCTTGCCGTGTGATCTCTGTGGTCTCTGCACAGACAGACCCTCCTTCCCTTCTGCCAGAGTGGGAGCAGCCTGAGGCCGTCACAAGAAATAGATGCTGGTGCCATGCTTCCAGTACAGCCTGCAGAACTGTGAGGCAAACACATTTCTTTTCTTTAGAAGTTACCCAGGCTCAAGTGTTCCTTTAGAGCAACAAAAATGGACTAAGACAGCAACGTCCTGAGATCAGGAGGAACATCCCAGAACAGCCTGGGCTGTCTTCCTGTTCTTCCTGGAGGAGGACGTCATGCAGTGCTTTAGCTGAGTGCTTCCTGTGGCTCCAGGGTACAAAACCCAGGCTGGGCTGCTTTTTGATTTCCCCCAGATACACTGCATATGGGGTGACTCCACATGTCTCGAGCAGCTTTTCTGAGCCTTGAGGGACTGGCTCACATTGAAATGTAGGTTTCTGTTGTCACTCGCTGCTTATCTGTTAGTAATGAACCTGCCTGTGTAATGTGTTCTCTGTGTGTTCTGTCTCCCTGGAGTGACGGTGAGTGATAGGAATTGGTATAGGCCCAGGTGCATTCCAGGAGGTGTTTAGAATCTTCTCTGGGAAGACTGGATTGGGATTGATACACAGCGAATGTGCTTTACAGTTTCTACCACCACAACCCTCTTGACTCAAAAAAAATTACATTCTCCAAGAAAAGAAAGAAAAAATGAAATCAAGATAAAAAAAGTGAAGTAGAACTGACTTAAATCAAACAGCCATGAAATAATGATGTAGCCCAGGAACAACATGCTACTTTTTGTGATCTGCTGAGACATATATTAGGCTGCTATTCCACCCGAGAAGCACGGGGAAGGACCGCCCTCTCCGTCGTTTATTGTTTCAATACAGCCTGTCCTTCTGTGAGTTAGTACGAAATGTGACCAGGGGCTAGTGCTGGCACTGGTCTCTGAGTCCAAGATCTGAGCTCACTCCAAAGAGTATTAGTGTTTACCTCCCCATGATCTATCTGTATCTCCATAGGTGATTGGAAGTAGAGATGAATTGGGGGATTTGGGTGAAGGGGCAAGTTTTATGCCATGAACAGAGCACGTTCTCTATTCCAGGACCTGTGCTGGTGGGTTCAGGAGGCTTTCACATTTTCCATATGATCCCAAGCTCAC
The DNA here is from genome assembly GCF_000001405.40 of Homo sapiens. NCBI lineage: Eukaryota > Metazoa > Chordata > Mammalia > Primates > Hominidae > Homo > Homo sapiens. The sequence continues at coordinate 134,884 of NT_187685.1, forward strand.
AGAAAGCCAAATAAGGAAGAGGTTTAACCTGATTGTTTAATGGATAAGATAAAGGGTCAAAGAATTAAACACAGAGAAATAGAAAAATGATGGTTGGTATCCAGTTGCCTTTGTAATTTCTGTGTGTCATAATTATGTATGTTTTATTTTTATTTTTTGAGACAGAGTCCCCCTGTGTCAGGCTGGAGTGCAGTGATGCGATCTCAGTTCAACCTCTGCCTCCAGGGTTGAAGCCATTCTTCTGCTTCAGCCTCCCCAGTCGCTGGGATTACAGGCAGGTGCCAATGCACCAGGCTAATTTTTGTATTTTTAGTACAGACGGGGTTTCACCATGTTGGCCAGGCTGGTCTCAAACTCCTACCCTTAAGTGATCTACCCGCCTTGGCCTCCCAAAGTGTTGGGTTACAGGTGTGAGCCCCCATCCACAGTCTTGTATATTATATTATACTAGGTCCCTTCATTTGCACCACCCCTCATGTGTCTATCGCTCCTCTGCCAGGTATTGATTTAGATGTAGAAAAAAAACACATCTCAGAAAGAAATTAATGAAACAAGGATTAAACTACTAGGAAAAATCAAACCCAGCAAGCCCTCCCTGCAAATGATTCTACCTCACAAGCATAGCTTATATCCATCTTTTATTCATTTAGTGTGTAAATCAACCCTACGTTTCACCAGTGGGGCGGGAATTGCCTTTTCCACGGTCTCCTAGATTCCAGTTACGCACCTGGGCCTCCCTTATTTTCATGTCGGTCACTGTTAATCATGTAGGGATTCCTAGTTAGCTCTGAGTTGAATCCAAGGGCTGTGAGTGTCAAACACACGCTCCTTGTTCCTCCTTAGTTTCCTGTGTACCCAGTGTGCTCTCCATCTCTCTACAGTTGTCTTGTCATTCTCCCCATCTCATTCCCAGCATTTGAGGCAGAGCCTCTTCCTTGAACTAAGAATGTTTCCACCTTTGTGCCTTCACGGCTGAGAGCTCAGTGTGGAAAATCCTTCCGCCAATCTTCCAAGGGTTGAATCCATTTTTTCCATTAAGGTCACAAATATTATCTGATCAGTGAGACCTTCTCTGTCACCTGAAATTATATACTCAGCATTATCTATTACTTATTTTAAATCCTGGCTGGGCGCAGTAGCTCTCGCCTGTAATCTTTGCACTTAGGGACGCTAAGGCGGTGGGATCACTTGAGATTGGGAGTTTGAGACAGCCTGCACAACATGGTGAAACCTCATTTCTACTAAAAAATATACCAAAAAAATTAGCCGAGTGTGGTGGCGCACAGCTGTAATCCCAGCTACTCGGTAGGCTGAGGCAGGAGAATTGCATGAACCCAGGAGGCAGAGGTTGCAATGAGCTGAGATTGTGCTACTGCACTCCAGCCTGTGGAACAGAGAGAGACTCTACTCAAAAAAAAAAAAGAAAACAAAAAAAACACACACACACAAAAAACCCCAGATTTGGTGCACAGATGCTTCCCAATGGATCATTCATTTATTGGTACCCTTGTGCATTCATTCTCTGCCCTCGCATTTACCCATCTGCAATATCAGCGTCCCAAGAGCAGAGGCCAAATGCATCCTGTTTACCATTTGTGGAAGGCAGGAGAATGCTGCCCCACCCCCAAAATGTCCCTGTCTTAGCCTCCATAGCTTGTGAATATGTTATTTTACAGGAAAGGAGGAATGAAGATTGCAGATGGCATTACGGTTGCTAATCAGCTGAACTTAAAAAGAGGGTACGCTGGATGATTTTAGGGAGATTGAGATGGATTATCTTGGTGACCCCAATAGAATCCCAAAGTCCTTAAAAGATGAGGAAGAAGGCAGAGCAGGATTCAGAGAAAAAGGTATGGGTAAAGAAGAAGAGTCTGAATGATGCCATGTGAGACGTGACCAGCCTTTGTGGGCTTTGAGGAAGGAGGAAGGAGGAAGGGGACCAGGGGCCCAGGAACGTGGGAGCCTCTAGGAGCTGGGAAACGTTAAGGAGCAGATTCTTGCTTGGAACCTTAAAAAGAAATCCAGCCTTACTCTCCCTTTGATATCAGCCCAGTGAAATGCAGTTCATACTTCTGAGTTACAGCACTGTGAGATAATTAAGAAAAACATGTTTTCATCCACGAAGCTTGTGGAAATTTGTTATGGCAACAATAGGAAAAGATTCCACACTGCACAGCCAGAGCATGGGGCATTGGCTGAACGAGTGAGTGAGTGGAAGTGTCGTGTGCATAAATAAGCTAAATTCTCTCTTACTGCACGTCTCTTGCTCTGCTGAGTCAACCAGGGTTGCATCTGGTACACTGCTGATACGAATGTAAATTAGTACAGCCATTACAGAGGAGAAGAGTATGGAAGTTCCTCAAAAAATAAAATGAGGTCGGGCACAGTGGTTCATGCCTGTAATCCCAGCACATTGGGAGGCCGAGGTGGGTAGGTCACTTGAGGTCAGGAGTTGAAGAGCAGCCTGGCCAATATAGCGAAACTCTGTCTCTACTAAAAATATAAAAATTAGCCGAGTGTGGTGGTGGGAGCCAGTAACCCAGCTACTTGGGAGGCTGAGGCTGGGGAATCTCTTGAATCCTGGAGGTGGAGGTTGCAGTGAGCCCAGATGGCACCACTGCACTCCAGCCTGGGCAACAAGAGTGAAACTGTCTAAAAAAAACAAAAACAAAAACAAAAACCATAAAACAAAATGTAAAAAGACACTTCCAGAGGATCTAGCAATTCCATGACTGGGTGTAAACCCAAAGGAAAGGACATCAGCGTATCGAAGTGACATCTGCACTCCCATGACTGTTCCAGCAGTGTTCACAGTAGCCAAGATGTGGATCAACCTACCCGCCCATCAGTGGGTGAATGGATGGAGAGAATGTGGTACACACACACAATAGGGACAACTCATCCATAGAAAGAGTAACATCCTGTCATTTACAGCCACATGAATGGAACTGGAGGTCATTACAAGTATTTCCATTTCTCACTCATATGCAGGAGCTAAAAGGTGGATCTCACAAAGGTAGAGAGTAGAATGGTGGCTACCAGAGGCCAGGAAGGGAAGGGTGGAGGGTAAAAAAAAAAGAATACTAATTAATTAATTAATTAATTTTGAGAGAGTGTCTCTCTCTGTTGCCCAGGCTGCAGTGCAGTGGCATGATCTCAGCTCACTGCAACCTCCGCCTCCTGCAATTAAGTGCAACTCCTGCCCAACCCTCCCAAGTAGCTGGGACTACAGGCATGTGCCACCATGCTCGGCTAATTATTATCATTATTATTATTATTTTGTATTTTTAGTACAGATGGATTTTCCCCATGTTGGCCAGGGTGGTCTTGAGCCCCTGATCTCAAATGATCCACCTGCCTTGGCCTCTCAAAGTGTTGGGATTACAACCGTGAGCCACCGTGCCCAGCCTATAAATGTATTTATGAACAGTAGACTTCACACTTAAAAATGGTAAAGGTGGTAAATTACATAGGTATATTTCACCTCAATAAATATTTCTTCAAACAAAAAGAAAAGGGTGTAGGCGTTGCTGGTGATGACATCTCTCTGTGGGTGACAGGCCAGGATGGGCTTCTGGGAAGTGGGTAAGGTTGAGGGGCTGAGAGAACCTCTGATCTCCCCAGGCAGAGCCCAGTCTCCCTCCTCTGGGTCTGTTCTGACCTCTTTCTCCATCTGCCTGGGTGCCTGGAACCCTGATCAAGGGCCTCCTTGCAGGCCATACAGGAGGGTTTGGAGGTGCCCTGTCTGCCATCCTGCGCCCTGACCCCGCCCTTACACCCATGCTGTGTGTTCTGTCTCGGCATCTGTCCATGCTTCTCTCCATCATCAGCAGGAAGCTCCTCAGCTATGGCTCTAGGATCACAAGACATGGGACAGGCATGGTGTTTTCTCACCTGTGACAGAAACGGGCAGTGGGTCACTCGGGTCTGACCACGCGTGGGGCAGGGCACGGAAAGAGCCGAAGCATCTGTAGGTCCCTCCGTGGGTCACAGGGCCCAGAGGGAAGTTGGCCTGGAATGTTCCATTGACCCTCAGCACCGCAGTGAGCCTAAGTTCACCGGCCTCTGCCTCCCTGGATAGATGGTAAATGTCAAACAAGCTCCGGGAGCTGCAGGACAAGGTCACATTCTCTCCTGCCTGAACCGTGGGGCCCGGCTGGGCTGAGAGAGAAGGTTTCCCATATAGACCTGGAAGAAGAAGAGGTGGTTTCCTCAGGGAGGTTCTTCCTTGTCACAGCTCTCCTCACACCTGAGCTGAGAACTCACTCCCCTGCTCTATGACTTAATGCTCTCTTTCTCTCTCTCACCCTCCACCCCCATCTCTCTTCATGTCTATTTCCTCCTTCCACCTTCTCTGTCTCTCTAGGTCTCTGACCTCACTTCTCCATCCCTAGCTATGTTTTCTTTTTTTGTACCATTTTATTCTCTCTGACCCTCCTTGGACTGGTTGACTTGATCTTCCTCTTTCTTTAATTCTGAGTCTCTCACTTTCTGTCTTGCTCATAACTTTCTGCATATTTCTATCTACTATCTATTGATCGATCTATCATTTATCTATGTATGTATCTATCATCTATCATCATCTGTGTATCTATGACCTATCTCTCTGTTATCTATCATCTATCAATCAATGTATGTATGTATGCATCTATCCATCTATCATCATGTGTTTATCTGTCTTTCTATCTCTCTATATCTATTTATATATCATCTGTCTGTCTTTCTACTTGTCTATCTATATCATCTATCAGTCATTCATCATCTATTTGTCTATCACCTGTCTCTCTATTATCTATCATATACCTTTTATCTTTCATCTATCTATATCTATCTATCCATCTATCATCTGTCTCTCTCCATCTCCTTGTCTTTCTCTGCCTCTCAGTCTCTCTAGTTCCCTTTTGGAGTCTCTGCAATCCATCCCCACATCTTTATCTTTCCCTGTCTTTGTGCCCCTCCCTCAGGGCTCTGATTTTAGGGCTTTTCTCTGCTTCCTTCCATCATACGCTCCACTTCTCTGCCCTCTTTTTCTGTCTCTTTATGTGTCTGTGAGTCTCTCAATTCCCTTCTTCTGGCTCATTCTGTGTGTGTGTTCATGTCTTTGCTTTTTGATTTCCCTGATTTCACTCCGTGTCTCTCTGTGGGCTTTTGTTCTCAGTAATCCTATAACATGTGGTGCTATTTGAATATGAGCCTCAGAATCCAGTATGGGGACTCCAGGAACTCACAACATACAGGGGTTGGTGTTCTGCTCCCTCACCTGGGGCCATGGTGTCCTGGGACGATGACAGCTCCACTGCACGGAAGGCAGAGGTTTAAGAATAAACACAGCATCTGTAGGTGCCACCAGCCTGGGGCCACACGGCCCAACTCAGGCCAGATAGATGTGTCTCTTTGGGTTCTCCTGGGAGAGAACACTTTGTAGAGGTAAAACAGAATGGAACCTTCTAACCTGTGCCTGGTCTCTGAACAAAGTCAGCATAGAAGGACACCTCTCTCTGGGATATATCTGTCTCTCTGTGTCTTCTTTACCTCTTTATCTCTTTTTCTAACACCTTGTATGGCCCCTGTGTCTGGCTTCTATGTTATGACATGAGGTCTGTACTTGTGTCTCCTGTTTCTCTGCCTTTGTTGGTACAGACCTCACCAAGTCACTTTCTCTCCATAGGAACCCCACACTCATCTTCCTCATGACCACCTGGGGCTTCCAGTCCTAGATCATTCACTCCATCTCCCAGCAAGGGTGAGAGGCAGGTCTGTATTCTCTCACCTACGACCACGATGTCCAGAGGGTCACTGGGAGCCGACAACTCATAGGGTAAGTGAGTGACAGAACCAAAGCATCTGTAGGTCCCTGCAAGGGCAGGTGTCATGGGACCCATGGAATAGTTGACCTGGGAACCCGCATCGTGGAGCTGTCCAACGAGGCGCAAGGGGTCCTCAGTGATCCCCTCTCTGTGCAGAAGGAAGCGCTCAAACCTGACATCTGACCAACATTGCAGGATGACCGTCTCTCCCGATTTCACCAGGGGACCTGGGTGGGCCAGGAGGGAAGGTTTTCTGTGGACTCCTAAGAAGAGAGGTTGTGAGTTCAGAAGGCGTCTCCCTTTCTCATCCCATTCATGGGACCTGAAATAAGTGAGGCTTCCCCTCCATGGTGTCTATCTCTCTCCTTCCTGTCTGTGTCTCCGTGTTCCTTTGTGCCCATAACCCCTGTTGCAGGTCCCTCCATCTGTCTCCCTCCCTCTTCCCTGTCTCTCTGTCTCTAGTAGCCCTGATTCCCTTCCCACTGTGCTCAGTGTCACCTCTTAGGCTGTTGTATCTGTTTCCCACTAATCTCTTTCCTGGTGTTTATGTAGGGGTGGAAGAGGAACCACGACAGGCTGCATGTCCAGGCTCTTAGCAGCCTGAATCAATCTCTTTTGGACAGATTGGAAAGGCTGGCAGGAGGTACGAACTCATCAGTAAGGCAGGCATCAGTGTCCCTGTTCCTGATGGGGATTGGGAGCCTCTCCTGTCATGTCTGTGCCTTCTCCATGGCCCCAGCTTCCATAGGGTGGCCCCTGGTGCTGGTTCCAGGAGCATCAACCCCTCCCTATGTGGATCGAGCCTGGTGGTAGCATCAGTATCCCACCCATGCTAAAATCAGTGTAGCCAACCTTCTCCTTGTTTGGTTTCTTAACTTGTGCTTCACCTGGGTTCCTGTGTTGGTTTCCTGTTGCTGCTGGAGAAAATTGTCACAAACATGGGGCAGGAGAGAATACAATGACCCCTTCCACTTCTGGAGAACAGAAATCGGACCCAGTTCTCTCTGGGCTAAAATCAAGGCATCTACAGGGCTGTGTTTCCTCTGGAGACTCAGGGAAGAATCAGTTCCCTTGACTTCTCCAGCCCTTAGAGGCCAACTGCCTTTGTGGCTCATGGCCTTCCCCCATCTTCAAAGCCCGCTGTGGCTGATGGAGTCTCCCTCCCACGACGTTGCTCTAACCCCACTTTCCTCTTCCTCCTCCTCTCATGAGGACCCTTGTGATTACTCTGAGCACAGCAGGACAGTCCAGGCTGTCTCCCCATCGCAAGGTCAACTCATCAACAACCTGAGCTCCATCTTCCCCTTCAGTCCCCTGCCCTATGACATAAATAGTCACAGGGTTCATGGATTACCATGTAGCCATCACTGGGGACAATTATTCTTCCCACCACAGCAACTATTTCTCTGTACTGAATCCCCCTTTACCCCAAATACAGCCAGGGCCTGGATGATTGGACCCTGATGGACACCCCCACCAGAAGCTCTGGGATTCAGGAGGTGGGACAGTGAGAAGCCCAGACAGAAAGCCTCTGACCTGTGACCATGATCACCACAGGGTTGCTGGGTGCCGACCACCCAGTGGGGGAGTGTGGGTGTGAACTGCAACATCTGTAGGTCCCTGCATGTGCTGGGGTCACAGGGCCCATGAGAAAGCTGTTCCGGAATATTCTGTTGTAGAGCTCAGGGACAGGCATCCCGTCTTCTTTGGACAGACTGAATTCTTTAAACCCAAGACGAGAGCGACACTGAAGAGTCACATGTTGTCCTTCAGACACCACAGTGCCGGGCCAGGCAGAGAGGAAGGGCTTGTCCTGACCACCTGGGGGAGAAGGAGGCACTACCTTAGAGAGGAGGATGTGGAGCTGCCCCTCCCTCCCTGTGCTCAGAAGATTCTCCCATTTCCACGTTTCTAAGGCTCCTACCACACCTGGGTGCCCAGGGCTACAGGAAGGACCCATCCCGCATAGACATGGCGTCTCCCTACAGCAAGTGTCAGCTGAGAACTTTGAGCAGGTGCTGAAGAAGCGACTCTTACTAGATTTTAACACTGCAAAATTACTTACATAAAAGAACACAAGGTAGACACAGGATGGAGGGCATGATCAGCTAATGCATGAACCATAATAAACAACTGAGCCCCTATTAGAAGATCTGGAATGTCAGGGTCATGACTGTGGTTCCCCCACCTCTTAGGTAGAATGACAGCAGCCACATTGCAGCCCCTACCGTCATGGAAACGCTGGAGGGTGTGAGTTATGCTCTTGTCCTCAGAGGCCTGTTGTTCCTTGCACTGCTTCTCTCCCTTCCTCTGCCGGTGACACCACTTCCTCCCTGCACACCACTCCTTTGAGCACTTCAGTCTCCCCCTGGGTCCCCACAGACTCAGCCAAGGGAAAGAAAGGCCGGGGAGGGCTAGGACAGAACTGTGGCGAAGCTTCCCCTGGCTTCCTTTTCCTAGTTCATGAGAGATTCCCACATGGCTTCCCATGGTCAGCCCATCAGTCAACCCCCTGTGTCGCCTGCCTCCCGTTTCAGGAACATCATCTTATGTGGGGAGATGACAACCTAAGGTTTGGGGGAAGGACTCACCCACATGTGGCCAGGGCCCCTCCAGCAAGAAGAACCCTGGAAAGAAAGATCATGATGGATGATCCATCTGTACATCACCTCCAGGCCCATATCTCCACTCCAGGCCCATATCTCCACCTCCGTCCTATATCTCTACTCCAGGCCCATATCTCCACTCCAGGCCTATATCTCCACCTCTGTCCTATATCTCTACTCCAGGCCCATATCTACACTCCAGGCCCATATCTCCACCTCCAGGCCTGTATCTCCACCTCCAGGCCCGTGTCTCCATTCCAGGCCCATATCTGCACTCCAAGCCAACATCTCCACTCCAGGCCCATATCTCTACTCCAGGCCCATATCTACAGTTCCAGGCCCATATCTCCACCTCCAGGCCCATATCTCCACTCTAGGCCCATATCTCCACCTCCAGGCCCGTATCTCAATTCCAGGTCCATATCTGCACTCCAAGCCAATATCTCCACTCCAGGCCCATATCTACAGTTCCAGGCCCATATCTCTACTCCAGGCCCATATCTCTACTTCAGGCCCATATCTACAGTTCCAGGCCCATATCTCCACTCCAGGCCCATATCTCCACCCCAGGCCCATATCTCCACTCCAGGCCTATATCTCCACTCCAGGCCCATATCTCCACTCCAGGCCCATATCTCCACTCCAGGCCCAGATCTCCACCCCACCGCTCCCTCCCTCGATTCCCTTCCAGGACTCACCAACACACGCCATGCTGACGACCATGAGCGACATGGTGCTGCCGGTGCAGACAGGCGGCTGCGCCCCAGCTCAGTTCAGCAGCACACAGGATGTTGTGAGGGGCTCATGCAGTTTACATGCTGACCACATCATGGGAGGATGACGTATGCAGGCTATTTCTACCTTGCATGAGGCCCAGTGGCTGTTTGGTCAAGAGCAGAACATGGCTTCCTGGAAATTGTTCCAACTAGAATTGACACCTTGCATCCTTCACTATAACCAACTCAAAACACGTCTCAGATCCAATCTCTCATACAGGAGATGACTGAATGCTTGGCTTACATTAAAGACTTTTGATGTATTTTTGTTGTTTTTATCTGAGATTCAAACTCTTCTTCATGTGCTATTTTCCCCAGGCTGTTCTTTGACTTCAGAGTTCAAGCAATCCTCCTGCCCCAGCATTTCTAGCAGCTGGCAGTATGTCACAATCTGCCACACCCAAGTCACAACTTTTAGAACTTTTTTTTTTTTTGAGACGCAATCTCACTTCGTCACCCAGTTTGGAATGCAGTGGTGAGACCTCGGCTCATTGCAGCCTCCACCTCCCAGGTTCACGCAATTCTCGTGCCTCAGCCTCCTAAGTAGCTGGATTTACAGGCACCCACCACCACGCCCACCTAATTTTTGTACTTTTAGTAGAGAGGAGGTTTCTCCATGTTGGCCAGGCTGGTCTTGAACTCCTAACCTCAAGTGATCTGTCTACTTCAGCCTCCCAAAGTGCTGAGATTACAGGTGTGAGCCACCATGCCTGGCCGGGACATTCTATATGTGTGCGTATGTGTGCATTTATATACATATGGTTATACACACACACACACACACACACCCTAAGCACTCACATATATAGTTGTTTCAAATTTTAAAAAATATAAATTTTGTATTTTTCTTTCTTTTTCTCACATTTGTGTTTCTATGACACCATATACATATTGAATTTTATAGTTCTATTTTATTCTTTTGGATTGCAGTTTAATAGTCCATACATAACTTTATCAACATGTAATTATCCACTCTTTTTATCATGGACATTTGTGTTGTTTCCGGATTTTCTCTTTTATAACTCGGGCCTTGATAATCGTGTTTCTGTGTGATCCCTTGCATACATATGCTGAATTAATTAGACATATTTACCTAGGAATGAAATTATTGGTTTTGGGTGCAAGTTGGTGTTGAGCTTAACCAGGAAGTGCCAAAATATTTCCATCATGACCAAATGTGGCCTGGAAAGTTTTTTGGGGTCAATTTTCCTGTTTCTTCTAAGGAACAAAATTGATGTCACTGATTTTTCTGTCCTGTTTGTCATTTATGAATATACGTACATATGCACGTATATATTTGCTTGCCATTTTATGTTTTTCCTCGACGTTACTTTGGAATTAATTTGCTGATGTGTAGTATTTCTGCAAGCGAAAGTTACCTATTTACTCAGCTCTTCCTTCTTTTCTAACACAGACATTTGAGGCTTATTTTCCTTTAACACTGTTCTATCTGTATCCCCAGTCATTTGCCGAGATGTGTTTTCATTTTTAATTGATACAAAATATTTTCCACCTTTCTTTGAAATGTTTTTCTTCCACTCATTGTTTATTGCTATGTGTGTTTATTAATTTTAAAATATTTGATAATTTCCCCAGCATTTCCTTGTTGTACATTTATAATTTAATTCAACTGTTTCATCTATCATATTACCTATGATTCAGCATTTAAAAATTTATTTTGGTGAATGTTCCAGGGGTGCTAGACAAGTTTGTGGATTAGGAAGATTTGAGGTGGATGTTTTCTAAATGTCAGTTAAGAAAAAAATCATTCAAATGTTTTTCTTTATTTAAAAAAAATAGAGACGGGGTCTCACTATGGTGCCCAGGCTGGTCTCAAACTCCTGGCCTCAAGTGATCCTCCCATTTTGGCCTCCCAAAGTGCTAGGATTATTGAAATTATTAAATGTTTCATATCAACACCCAACCTTATGCACCCGCCGCCTACACAAATGTTTTTCAAGTCTTTCATATGCTTAATAATTTTCTGTGTACTTGTTCTGGAAGTGAGGTGAATGTTGCTATCTCTAGCTGCAATTTGGATGTGATTGATTATGTTTTGAATTATGCCTTTAATTTAATGTGTTTTGAGGTTCCAGCTTTAGGTGTGTAGGCATTTAGGATTATTATGTCTTATTTATGAATTTGCCTCTTTGTCATTATGAAGTACTCCTCTTCATATCTCCATATATCTCTTCTTTGTATGTGCATGGTGAAATATTTCATTCTTTGAGTTAAGAAACTTCTATTGAGGAATACTTTTTATTACAAACATTTACCTATTCTATGTATACAACTGACTAGAAGCATATTTTGCACTGGGCATTATCATGACAATGTAATGTCATTCTTTCAATATTTACATCTTGTGGATTAGTATTTGAAGTGCAGCTTATGTAGACAGCATAAGGTTGGGTGTTGATATGAAACATTTAATAATTGCACACGTATTTGCCTCTTGGGATACTTCCACTTTTTTGAATTTCAAGTTACTAAATGGTATCATTAATCTTTGCTTCAAGAGCTTAACATTTATTGTAGAACAATGCTTCATGTAATAAATTGTGAGACATTTTTAATGGCACCTTTATTGCAGGAAAATGTTTTCCTTTTCAGGTTGAAAGATTCTAGTTTGAAATATTTTCTTGTAGCACTTTAAAAATGTTGGTCCACCTATTTCTTACTTTCATAGTTTTGAATACAAAGTTTGCTGTCATTCTTGTATTTCTTCTTCTGTTTTTTATTTATTTATTTTTGACAGAATATCTTGCCGTCTCACCCAGGCTGGAGTGCAGTGGCATGATCTTGGCTCACTGCAACCTCTGCCTTCCAGGTTTCAGCAATTCCTGCCTCAGCCTCCTGAGTAGCTGGGACTACAGGCATGCGCCACCATACCCAGCCAATTTTTTTTTTTGTATTTTTTTTTTGTAGAGATGAAGTTTTGCCATATTGGCCAGAACTCCTGACCTCAAATGATCCACCTGCTTTGGCCTCCCAAAGTGCTGGGATTACAGGTGTGAGCCACTGTGCTCAGGCTATTTATTCCTTTTTATATAATATGAATTCACATTCATACATACCAGGGGTTAGGATTTCAACAAACGTTTCTGGGGGAGACCACTCAAAACACAGCACTCATCCTTGGTTATTTCCAGCCATGGAGCCTGTATCAATATCCTGGTGAATTATCTAAGCTGTCCACCTACCTACCCCAAATCCTCATGGTCACATAAAAGGCTAGTATAGTATAATAATTTTTCTTTCCCTGCTTATCTACAGTGATGAAGAAACGAATATTCAAAGGGAAAAATCTTAGCTTTAGGTATAGGGTAATTCTTCTTCCTATTTTTAAATAACTTCAACCTTTACTGTAGATTAAAGGTATGCATGCAGGTTTGTTACATAGGCATATTGTGTGACTCTGAGGTTTGTGGTTCCAACAATGCCATCACCCAGGCAATGAGCATAGAATCCAACAGGTGTTTCTTCAGCCTATACCTCCCTACTCCTCCCCCCATCTGTAGTCCTCGGTATCTGTTGTTTCCATCTTTATGTTCATGTGTATTCAATGTTTGGTTCTCAGTTATAAGTGATAACATGTGGTATTTGGTTTTCTGTTCCTGGGTTAGTTCACTTAGGAGATTGACCTCCTGCTACATTCATGTTGCTGCAAAGGACATGATTTCATTATTTTTTATGGCCATGTAATGTTCCATGTGTATATGTAGCACATTTTCTTTAACTAATCCACTGTTGGTGAGCACTTAGGTTGACTGCAAATCTTTGCTATTCTGAATTGCACAGCAATGAATATACTAGTGCATGTGTCTTTTTGACATAGTTAATTACCTTCCTTTTGGTATATACCCAGTAGTGGGATTGCTTGATTGAATAGTAGTTCTATTTTAAGTTATTTGAGAAGTCTCCAAACTGCTTATCACATTGGCTGAACTAGTTAACATTCCCACCAAGAGTGTATAAGTGTTCCCTTTTCTCCACAATCTTGTCAGCATCTGTTATTAAAAAAAACAAAAAACTTTTTAGTAATTGCTTCTGCTTCTCTGATTGTTGTGAGATGGTATCTCACTGTGGTTTTAATTTGCATTTCTCTGATGATTACTGATAATAAGCATTTGTTCATATGTTTTTTGGCCATGTGTACATCTTCTTTTGAGAAGTGTCTGTTCATGTCATACTTAATTGAGGTTTTTTGGTTTTCTGCTTGTTGATTTGTTTACATTCCTTATAGATTCTGGATATTAGAACTTTGTCAGATGCATAGTTTGCAAATATTTTCTCCCAGTCTGTAGGTTATCTGTTTACTCTGTTGATACTTTCGTTTGCTGTGCAGAAGCTCTTCAGTTGAGTTAGGTCCCAATTTCTGTCTTTGTCACAATTGGTTTTGGGGAGTTAGCCATAAATTCTTTGCCAAAGTCTATCTTGAGAAGGATATTTCCTAGGTTTTCTTCTAGAATTTTAATATTTTGAGGTTTTACATTTAAATCTTTAAACTATCTTGGGTTAATTTTTGTATATAGTGAGAGTTAGGGGTCCAGTTCTATTATTTTGCATATGAGTAGTCAGTTATCCCAGAACTATTTATTGAAGAAAGGGTACTTTCCACATTGCTTGTTTTTGTCAATTTTTTCAAAGATGATTGTAGGTATGTAGCCTCATTTCTGGGTTCTCTATTCTGTCTCATTGGTCTATGTGTCTGTTTTTGTAGTAGTATCATGCTGTTTGGGTTACTATAGCATTGTAGTATAGTTTGAAGTTGGGTAATGTGATGCCTGGGCTTTGTTCTTTGTGCTTAGGATTCCTATGTGTATTCAGGCTCTTTTTTTGGTGCCAAATACATTTTAGAATAAATTTTTATAATTTCGTGAAAAATGACATTGCATTTTGAAATGGATAGCATTGAGTCTGCAATTTGTTTTTGGAAGTATGGCGATTTTAACTATTTGTTCTCCTAATTCATGAGCATGGAATATTCTTCCATTTGTTTGTATCATTTCTTATTTCTTTCAGAAGTGTTTTGTAGTTCTCCTTGTAGAGAATTTTCACCTTCTTGGTTAGATGGATTCCTAGGTATTTTATTTTCTTTGTGGCTAGTGTAAATGGAATTGTGTTCTTGATTTAGTTCTCAGCTAGAATGTTAGTGGTGCATAGAAATGTTACTAATTTGTGTACATTTTTTTAATCCCGAAACTTTATTGAATTTGTTTATCAGTTTCAGGAGCCTTCTGACAGAGTCTTTAGGGTTTTCTATGTATAAAATTATTTCATCAGCAAAGAGAGACAGTATCACTACTTCTTTTCCAATTTTAATGCCTTTTATTTCCTTCTCTTGCCTGATTGCTTTGGCTAGGACTTCCAGTACCATGTTGAATTAAAATGGCGGGAGTGGTCATCCTGGTCTTGTTTCGGTTCTCAAGGGGTATGGTTCCAGCTTTTGCCCATCAATATGATGTTGGCTGTGGGTTTGTCATAGATGGCTCTTAATATTTTGAGGTATGTTCCTTTGATGCCTATTGACAGTTTTTATCATGAAGGGATGTTGGATTTTACAGAAAGCTTTTTCTGCATCTATTGAGATGATCATATAGTTTTTGTTTTTAATTATGTTTATGAGGTGAATCACATTCGTTGACTTTGTAGGTTGAACCAACCTTGCATCCCAAAAATAAAGCTTACTTGATCATGTGAATTAACTTTTGATGCACTGACAGATTCAATTTGCTAGCATTTTGTTGAGGATTTTATGTCTATGTTCATTAAGGATATTTAGTTGTAGTTTTCTTTTTTTCATTATGTCTCTGACAGATGTTGGTATCATGGTGATGATGGCTTCATAGAATGAGTTAGGAAGAAGCCCCCACTCCTTGATTTTTTCCAAAAGTTTCAGTAAGATCGGTATCAGTTCTTCTTTGTATGGCTGTTGGATTTTGGCTGTGAATCCATCTGGTCCTGGGCTATTTTTAGTTAGTAGGGTTTTTATTACTGATTAAATTTCTGAACTTGTTATTGGTCTGTTCAGGTTTTCACTTTCTTCCTGGTTGAAATATGATAAATTTTGTGTTACCAGGAATTTATCCATTTCTTCTAGGTTTTCTAGCTTGTTTGTATAGAGGTGTTCATAATAGTCTTTGACGATCTTTTCTATTTCTGTGGGATTGTTCGTAACATTGTTTTGTCAGTTCTATTTGTGTTTATTTGGATCTTTTCTCTTTTTCTTTGTTAATCTAGCTAACAGTCTATGAATTTTGTTTATTTTTTTTCAAAGAAAAACTCTTGGTTTTATTTATCTCTTGTATGGACTTTTTGGTCTCAATTTATTCAGTTCTCTCTGACTTTAGTTATTTCTCATCTTTTGCTGGCCTTGGGTTTGGACTGTTCCTTTTTTTTAATAGTTCCTCTAGATGCAGTGTTAAGTCACTAATTTGAGATCTTTCTAAACTTCTGATGAGGCATGTATTGCTATAAATTTTCCTCTTATCACTGCTTTAACTGCATCCCAAAGGTTTTGGTAAGTTTGTTTCTATTTTTATTAATTTTAAATAATGTTTTGTGATTTCTGCTTTAATTTCATTGTTCACCCAAGAGTTCTCAAGGGGTACAGTTCCAGCTTTTGACCATTCAATATGATGTTGGCTGTGGATTTGTCATAGATGGCTCTTAATATTCATTCAGAAACAAGTTGTTAAATTTCCATGTTTTTCTGTAGTTTTGAGAGATCATCTTGGTATTTTTTTCTATTTTTATTGTGTGCCTTGTTATGATTTTGATTCTTTGAATTTATTGAGACTTGCTTTGTGGCCAGTCTTAGAATATGATATGTTTTTTGTGTGTGCAGATAAGAAGAATCTATATTCTGCAGTTGTTGGGTGGAGTACTCTGTAGATGTCTATGAGGTCCAATTGGTCAAGTGTTGTCTTTAAGACCAGAATTTCTTTGTTAGTTTTCTGTTTTAGTGATTCATCTGACGTTGTTAGTGGGATACTGAAGTCCCTTACTATTATTGTGTGGCTGTCTAACTCTTTTCATAGGTGAAGAATAACTTGTTTTATGAATCGGGGTGCTCCAAATTTGGGTGCATATATATTTAGAATAGTTAAGTCTTCTGTCAAATTGAACCCTTTATCATTTTGTAATGCCCTTCTTTGTCCTTCCTGATTGCTGTTGATTTAAAGTGTGTTTCATGTGATATAAGAATAGGAATGCCTTCCTTTTTTTTGTTTCCTGGTTGCCTAGTAAATATTTCTTCATCCTTTTACTTTGAGCCTGTGGGTGTCATTACATGTGAGATGGGTCTCTTGAAGACAGCAGGCAGTTGGCTCTTGGCTTTTTATCCACGTTGCCACTCTATGCCTTTTATGTGGGGAATTTAGGCCATTTACATTTCTTCTCCTGATATATCCTTTTTATATTTTTATGATTGCCTTTTAAAATATATTGAATGGTTGTAATTCCAGGGAAATGTCTTTCAGAACAGTATTTATTCCCATCTACATGTTTTGGAGAGTGCACTAGGGGACATTGAAGTTTATTTCCTGAAAAGAGTTTAATTTTAAAATGTATTTTATTTAATAACTCAATGATTCAGGGAATGTCTAGGTATTTCAGAGATTGTTTTAGACAGTTTGTTTTCTTGTGATATGTGACCACTTCATCTAAGCTGAATAATGTCTTCATAATGTCCACTTAGAATCTTTTGAATTCTGTAGGATCTGTACTGATGTCATTGTTTCCTTTCTGATATTGGTAATTTTCCTGGGGTAGGATTCTTAGCTCCTCCTGAGGTCCTGCCTCTAAAATTCAGGGAACAATGAGTCAGATTAGTACTCTGATTTCAAAGGGAAAGCTGATCATCTACCATTTTTTGTTTATGTAAATGGACACATTAACATCCCTTGTCTGAACCTTAGTTACCTTGTTTGGAGCATTTTGCTATAAATCTCACTTCTCAGAGTGGTTGTGGGGCTTGATGTGGCTGGGGTATGGGATGGCTTAAACATAATTTATTTCCAGACCAGGTTAAGGCATGAAGGGGTTGGGACTTGTTAGAATCCTGTTGTCGGACTCCACAGTAAGGGTAGACATTTGAGGCACCCAATCAAAAACCTCAGTTGTTCCTAGCACTGAGAAATTTGATAGAATGTTTCTAAAACATTATTCATGGTCTAATGCACAAAAAGTAAAGTGATAGCCCTGGAAGTAGACAGGGAACCATAAGAAAAAAGAGAGAGCAAAGCTCAGTGGTCACCAGTGCCTGGGACCATCAAGGGGTTATTAAGGAGGAAGTTTCCACCTCTGTGGGGAACAGAAGAGGCTCCCTAGGGTCCACACACACAGGGAGTGAGCCAAGACTCTGGGCGAGGCTGGAAGCTCTGGGTCTCCTTCTGTGAGATTTTCTTTTTTTTTTTTGAGATGGAGTCTTGCTCTGCCACCCAGGCTAGAGTGCAACGGCGCGATCTCGGCTCATGGCAACCTCTGCATAAAGTGGTATGTATTTAAGGCATGCATTAGACAAATTACTAAGTATTTACTAGATAAGAAAAAATTATATCTGAATCTTTTCAAATTGCCGTCTTATGCATTATATTCTCTTTTTATAGTGCAATTTCTTAATAGTTAATGCCAGAAGATTTTTTTTTCTTCCTTTCTTTCTTTCTTTTTTTTTTTTTTTTGAGACAGAGTCTCACTCTGTTGCCAGGCTGGAGTGCAGTGGCACGATCTCGGCTCACTGCAACCTCCGTCTCTCGGGTTCATGCCATTCTCCCGCCTCAGCCTCCTGAGAAGCTGGGACTACAGGCACCCTCTACCATGCCCAGCTATTTTTTTTTTTTTTTTTGTATTTTTAGTAGAGACGGGGTTTCACCATGTTCGCCAGGATGATCTCTGTCTCTTGAACTCGTGATCCACCTGCCTTGGCTTCCCAAAGTGCTGGGATTACAGGCATGAGCCACTGCACCTGGTCGCCAAAAGATATTTTTAAAAACCTAAATGCCACTTGAAATGAATAAGACCCTCAATAATTCATGGGATATACATGTGAACTTATGACATATGATGAAATAAGCAGGTTACAAAATTGTAATATATCAAGCAAGGTAGAAAGCCATGGCAGAAAAAGAGACAAGCATTTTCAAGATAAGGAATGAAAGAGGGGAAACAGTACTATTGATTTTACAGATTTTACAAAGATATCTTAGGTGTGTTTTCCTAAATAATAAATGTACCCTCCTTTTGACCTTTATGTAATGAAATAACCATGCACACATTTTCAAATAATACTTCATTTACTTGACTTTATGCTTGAAAATTGAAGTATGGTGCTGTTTGTTATTTTCATTTATGCATTTTACTACCTTGTAATATTCCACTGAGTCTATTTACCACACTATGTTTATTTTTTTCGTAGGTGGACTTTGGTATTTTATAGCTTTGGCTAATAGGAACAGCATTCCTATAACAGTTGTGAGTGTATCATGACACATAAGTAGACATTTATCTCTAGGGTACATAATTAAGTACATAATTAAGAAGGGTCACAGCCATGTGCCTCCTCTTTTTAACTAGATAATTCCAATACACTTCCTTAATTGATTAAAGCAATTTGTACTCTTACTATTAATGTACTAAAATTCTACATGTTCAATATTCTTTCCAAAAAATGATTTTGCTACTTTTTTCTTTTCTTGAGACTGAGTCTTGCTCTATCACCCAGGCTGTAGTGATCTCGGCTCACTGCAACCTCCGCCTCCTGGGTTCATGCGATTCTCGTGCCTTGGCCTCCCAAGTAGCTGGGATTACAGGCAGGCGCCACCATGTCTGGCTAATTTTTGTATTTTTAGTAGAGACAGCGTTTCACCATGTTGGCCAGGCTGGTCTCGAACTCCTGACCTCAGGTGATCCTCCTGCCTCGGCCTCCCAAAGTGTTGGGATTACAGGCATGAGCCACCACACCCGGCCTATTTTTTTCTTTTCCCTCCATTGTGCTATGATTTTTGACATTACAATTTTACTGAAACTACACCATAAGAATGAAGCAGAAATTATTATAACCTTTAAATAAACTTTACAACTGGTTCATACTCGTGTGAACGACAATTCTTTTGACTACTTCCCAACTGTGCATTCAATGGCGTCATATGGGCACCCTGAAGTTGGCCATAAAGGACGTATTTATACCACACTAATCAGCAAATACCATAAATCTGGGGCTTTATATGTTCAGAGTTTTCTTAAGAAAATAATTTTTTCAGAGAGCCAGTTTAACAGAATACCATGAGGCTGAGCCTTCGAGCGTTAGTGTGCTCATTCTGAGAGATGATATTTCTGGACAAAGTACACAGGTATCATCCGATGAAGAGTGAAGGGAATTCAGGGTCCAGAGAGGGTGCTAGGGCATCATTTCAGACTCATATTTCCCTTTTTTTTTTTTTTTTTGGAGATGGAGTCTTGCTCTGTTGCCCAGGCTGGAGTGCAGTGGCAAGATCTTGGCTCACTGCAACCTCCGCCTCCCGGGTTCAAGCTATTCTCCCGCCTCAGCTTCCTGAGCAGCTGGGATTACAGGTGCTCACTGCCACACCCAGCTAATTTTTGTATCTTTTAGTAGAGACAGGGTTTCACCATGTTGGCCAGGTTGGTCTCGAACTTCTGACCTCAAGTGATCCGCCCACCTCAGCCTCCCAAAGTGCTGGGATTACAGGTGTGAGCCACTGTGCCTGGCCTCAGACTCATGTTTCAAAGTCCCAAATACAAATCTGCCCACCTATTCCAGTTATTTAATCCAGATCTATGCTCAGAACTGAAAAGATGGAGAATCAATAGTTCACTTTAGAGAATGCGGTAGTTGGAAACAAAGACAAATGTATTACATGACAGTGGACCAGAGCACGTGATCGCAGGGGTGTGGATGCAAACCCACCATGGGGGACGTGCCTTCACATCACAGAGAGCGAAAGGAAGGGAGGGGCAGACACGGAGGATCCACAACAGCAGGACTGAAAGCACTGCCATTTAATGGAAGTTTAATGGAGGAAGCGTTCTCTACAGGCACCCAGACATCTTCCTGAACCTGACCCAAGCCTCCCCTTCTCGACTTTCTCAGTAGACGGTTTCCCGAATGATGGTCCAGACTTTCTTCCAGAACCTCCTAGGACTATCAGATTCATTGCCAAGGCTCTGGCACTCTGAAGGGTGCATTGTTCTCTCATGTATTTACCTCCTTGCTGCATCTTGGGGACTTCTCTAGCTGTGCCAGTCCTAAAGCAGCAGAATCCCGAGGACCACCAGGACCAAGCCAGCCACAGCCACGCGGATGAGATTCTCCACTGTGTAATCCTGGGGGTGTGAGGCTGGGGATGGTGGACCAAGAGGTCTCAGAGGTCAGGGCAGATCAACATCACCCGGGACCCCTGGATGTCCACCCAGGGCACCCACCTCCCCTTCACAGGACCTGACCCTCTGTGCCAGCCCCATAACCGAGAGCATCTCCTTACACACCAGTCTTGGAGTCTGTCTTGTTTTGCGATGGGCTGAGGGTCTCAGCTGCTCCTGAGAATCAACCAAAAAAGGGGGAGGTGTGTGAGGAGTTGAAGAGACTTAAGCCAACATGTCCCTCAGTTGCTGCATTCCTTTGTGTCTACACTTCTCCTAACTGCTCTGTAGTTGTGTGATAGAACCTTTCCCTGCCGTGGCAGAGGTACATTCGCATACATACATACATATATGCATAGGTGTAAATATGTGTGTATACATAATATGTGTTATGCATATGTGTATACATAATATGTATTATGCATATGTGTATAGATAATATGTATTATGCATATGTGTATGCATAATATGTATTATAAGATATAGTGTGAGTATATATAAATATATAATATATAAGATATATAATAGTGTGTGTATACATATAAATATATAATAAGATATGTAATAGTGTGTGCATATATAAATATATAATATATAATAAGATATATAATAGTGTGTATATATAAATATATAATACATAATATATTATAAGATATATAATAGTATGTATATATAAATATATAATACATAATATATAAGATATATAATAGTGTGTGTATATATAAATATATAATACATTATATATTATAAGATATATAATAGTATATATAAATATATAGTACATAATATATAATAAGATATATAATAGTGTGTGTATACATATAAATATATAATAAGATATGTAATAGTGTGTGCATATATAAATATATAATATATAATAAGATATATAATAGTGTATATATATAAATATATAATACATAATATATTATAAGATATATAATAGTATGTATATATAAATATATAATACATAATATATAAGATATATAATAGTGTGTGTATATATAAATATATAATACATTATATATTATAAGATATATAATAGTATATATAAATATATAGTACATAATATATAATAAGATATATAATAGTGTGTGTATACATATAAATATATAATAAGATATGTAATAGTGTGTGCATATATAAATATATAATATATAATAAGATATATAATAGTGTATATATATAAATATATAATACATAATATATTATAAGATATATAATAGTATGTATATATAAATATATAATACATAATATATAAGATATATAATAGTGTGTGTATATATAAATATATAATACATTATATATTATAAGATATATAATAGTATATATAAATATATAATACATAATATATAATAAGATATATAATAGTGTGTGTATATATAAATATATAATACATAATATATATTATAAGATATAATAATGTGTGGGTAATATAAATATATAATACATAATATATAAGATATATAATAGTGCATATATAAATATATAATACATAATATATATTATAAGATATAATAATGTGTGGGTATATATAAATATATAATACATAATATATATTATAAGATATAATAATGTGTGGGTATATATAAATATATAATACATAATATATAAGATATATAATAGTGTATATATAAATATATAATACATAATATATATTATAAGATATATAATAGTGTGTGAGTATATATAAACACATACATATATATTTGAAGTGAGAAGAGTATTATATAATTTAGAAACAAACAAGTTTGTCCTCCATTTTCTTGTGGTTAATGTAATTATTATCAATAAATCAGAAGAGATCATTTCGGAAAGGATTGAAAGGGAGTGTGTCTGTGGTAAGTTAATAGGAACTAAAATTAGCATACCCAAACCAATAGCTTTCTCATCCATACGTAACTAATTTTAGAAAATAGAAAGGAATCAAAGACTTTCAAATTATTCAAGTAGTAAAACAATGCTTAAAATTCACAATGTCCACAATTTTTATGAATACAACTTCAAGCATCTGCTAACTGTATAAAGTTTAATTTTAAATGTATTGGATACAAAGACATTATTAATGAGAAGTTATTCTCCATCATGAATGCACATATTTAATTTAATCCCAAAGAAAATCAGAGCACAGTTATTTTACATCATAACGCTACCTAACAAATTAAATGTGTAAATTATAAATGCCAGCATTGCTTTGAAATCTTCAGAAACAGAAAGAGAAACTAGATATGTGGACATAAAAAATAAAGGACAGAAAGGAATTGCACACGAGGTTTGCTGTTGAATAATTTGCCTGCATTGCTGCAGTGAGCAGGTGCATGATCTCCCCTTCGTCTCAGGTATGCACTGAGTATTTTGGGGCCGCCAGGGGAGCCCAGGTGGGGAGTGGGTGGGGCCTCCATCTTCTACCCTCAGCCTAAGCATGATTCCTCCAAGGTTTCTCCATATCTCATTTCAGCCCTCCCTGGCCTTTAGCCCCATCTGAGGTCTCTGGGGTGGGAGCCCAGGATTAGGAGGTCCCTGACTATTTCCACCCTCTCATGGGCTGGGCCCTCCCCTGCCGACCCTCCCCCTTTACTCCCCTCTTTCCTTAGCGTCCTGAGCTCTCCTGGGGGCAGGGCCTGAGCTGAGGTTTGAGCTCAGAGAGGACAGGGTCAGCGGCCTCACCTGAGACCACGAGCTCCAGGGGGTCACTGGGGTGAGACAGCAGGTAGGGGAAGAATCTGCGTGAGCTGTAGCACCTGTAGGTCCCCGCGTGGGCTGAGGTCACAGGACTCATGGGGAATTCAGCCTGGTGCTGCTGAGCTTGGTGCTCTGATCTCAGACGCAGTGGGTGATGGGCTGCCCCCTCCTTGGTCAGAAGGAAAGTGTCCAACTGCTCCCGTGACTGACACAGCAGGGTCACGTTCTCTCCTGAGGCCACCGTGGGGCCCGGCTGCACCGAGAGGGAGGGTCTGCCACGGATCTGTCCTGGAGAGAAGAAGGATGGGTGAGGGGCTGCCCCACCTCGTTCTGAGCTGACACCTCCCCAGGCCTCTCCCTGGGACCCTCAGTGTCTCTGTCTCTGTTTTCTCTGAGTCTCCCCCTCCCCGCCCATCCCCTGTCTCTGTCTGTCTCTCCGTCCCTTAGGACCCCCACCCCTCATCCCGGCCATCACCACCTGGGCTCCCCCAGCAGGGCCTGTGCGGAGCCTGGGTCCCTGACTGAACCTGCTGGGCTCCTCACCTGCGATCAGGATGCTCAGGGGGTCACTGGGGGCCGACCACTCGGAGGAGAGGTTGTGTGCACCGTAGCATCTGTACTGGCCCCCGTGGGAGACCCTCACAGGGCCCAGGGTGAAGTTGGCCTGGGAGAGCCCAGCCTGGGGCTGCCGGCCAGAGCCCTGGACGAGGTCATGTCCCCCCTCCTTGTACAGAGTGAATTTGTCATAGCCGACATCAGAGCCACACTGGAGGGTCAGATTCTCCCCAGGGGCCACGACAGGGCCCTGCAGGGTCAGGAGGGAGGGCTTCCTAGACACGCCTGGAGGGAAAGAAGAGTCGGGACTAGGAGGGCTGGTTCCTCCCACACCCCTTCCTTCTCCCCTCCTGGCCCTGCAGGTCTCACTGTCTCTCACACTCAGTGTCTCTGGGCTCAGGAGTCCCAAACTTCCCTTGTTCCACCCTCCTACATGGGGCTCCGTGAGAGTAAGTTCTCAAAAATAAATAGGGCAAGGAGGAAGACATCCATACCTAAGACCAGGATCTCCATGGTATCACTGGGTTCCGACCACACCCAGGGGAAGTTCGTGTAATGCCCATAGCATCTGAACATCCACCGGTGACTGGCAGCCACACGGCCCAC
This sequence comes from Homo sapiens, assembly GCF_000001405.40. NCBI lineage: Eukaryota > Metazoa > Chordata > Mammalia > Primates > Hominidae > Homo > Homo sapiens. Next base: position 159,292 of record NT_187685.1, read on the forward strand.
AGGGAACAGGGCCAGGGACAAGGGACAGCCCCTTGGAGAGTTCCTGTGAGTCCAGCATCCAGGAGAGCTTGTTTTCTCCTTCCTCAATCAAAATGAACCTGTGAAATCCCACCCTTGAGCTACACTGGATGGTCACGTTCTCTCCTGAGGTCACCACAGGGCTCGGCAGGGCTGAGAGAGTGGGTTTTCTGTGGGCTCCTAGGAGAGAAGGAGACACTGTCTTAAATGGGGCTCACGCGTCCCACATCATCCCCCAGGGCTGAGTTATTAGAACGGAGATGCCCTTGAGAGCTGACCCCCTTCCTGCAGGCAGAGCCTGGGGCTGGGACCCCTGAGTGTCCTCTTACCTGTCACCACCAGCTCCAGGGGCTCGCTGCGCTCTGACCAGCCTGCAGGGCTGAGATAGTGACAGTGGTATCTCCCTGCATGGTGCTCTCTCATGGATGGGATGAAGAAGTTGGTCTTGTTCCTGGGCTCTGGTGGGCTCTGTTGGTACCAGGTCATGGGGTTTCCTTCCTTGGTGAGATAGTAACCCTGGGTATCCAGGGTCCCCTGGCACCAGAGGGTCATGGGGCTCTCCCAGGTAATCACAGAGCCTGGCTCAGCCCAGAGGCTGGGTTTGGGGAGGGTCCCTGGAAGAAACCACAGGCTGGGGTCCACAGACCTCCCCCGCTCCTCATTCCCAGCTCAGGTCACAGACCCTCTTGATTTTCTCACCCTCAGTTCAGAAGCCCCTGAGATGAGAGTCCAGGTGCTGAGTGTGAGGTCAGGCATGGGAGGTTAGCAGAGACTCACCTGCAAGTGCTTGGGCTTTCTGGCCCAGACTCAGCCATGGAGAAGAGTTTCCTGTGGGGGATTTGGAACACAGAGGTGTGGCTGCTTCCCTTCCTGTTGGAGCACCAGTAGCCACTGGAGCCCTGAGGCTCTCTGGTGAACAAGGCTGCTGTGGGACCCTCCCCACCTCAGCCCAGTGCCCCTCCTGTCCCTCGTCTCTCCACCACTGACTGAGGCACAGAAGAACAGTGAGGATGGACACCATGATGCCTGCTCTGCGTGCTCCAGCTGTGGGACAGGTGACCACATGGCCCTCCATGACAGACAGATGCACGGATGTGGTTAAGTCAGAGCCTGCTGCCGCCTGCCTGGGTCCCCACAGCTGTGAACCCACAGGAAGTGGACAGCCCCTTGCTGGGCCTGTCTCTTATTCCCCCCCCAGTGCAGGGGCTCAGGAGGACCCAGGCCCTCTGCACACATCTCAGCCCAGACCTGAGGTGTCCCCTGATTGCCAGGGATCCTTTGTCTGAAAACCTGCCCGTGGAGGGTGGACCCAACATCATATCTATGTCAGCTCCCAACTTAGCTGGGTCTAAACTGAAAACACAGCCCTTATTTTCTCAGAGCCTCCACTCATGACATCGGCTTTCTTTTTCCCCACTGATGCAAAGACAAATATTTCCCAGCAGAAAGTCATCCTGATCTGGAGAGACCCATTTCCTGCGTTCAGTAAATAAAGTCAGTTTCATTAGGGGAGGCTCTGGGAAAATAAGGGGATGCAGACTAGCAGAAGATGAACATTTAGCTACTTGTTTCTCAATTAATTGATTTATTACCAAAGAGAGAGAAGTGGAAACATGAGAATAGGGACCATGACTAGAATGTGGTTGAGGGAATGGTTTCTATCTTATTCCCTGGCAGAGAACTAAGGGATAAGAATGAGAAAGCTGGCTGGGTGCAGTGGCTTACACCTGTAATCCCAGCACTTTGGGAGGCCGAGGCAGGAAGATCACAAGGTCAGGAGTTCAAGACCAGCCTGACCAACATGGTGAAACCCCTGTCTCTACTAAAAATACAAAAACTAGCTGGGTGTGCTGGCATGCGCCTGTAATCCCAGCTACTAGGGAGGCTGAGGTGGGAGAATCGCTTGAACCTGGGAGGTGGAGCTTGCAGTGAGCCGAGATCGCGCCACTGCACTCCAGCCTGGGCAACAAAGCCGGACTGTCTCAAAAAAAAAAAAAAAAAAAAAAAAAAAGAAAGAGAGAAAACCCAGCAGTGAGAGGTAGTTGTGAGAACACACTAAAGAGGAAAGATAATCCAGGGCTGGGAGTGGTGGCTCATGCCTGTAATTCCAGCACTTTGGGAGGCTGAGGCTGGCAGATCACAAGGTCAGGAGTTCGAGACCAGCCTGACCAACATGGTGAAACCCTGTGTCTACTAAAAATGCAAAAATTAGCTGGGTGTGGTGGTGGGTGCCTGTAATCCCAGCTACTCAGGAGGCTGAGGTGGGAGAATCGCTTGAACCCAGGAGACGGAGGTTGCAGTGAGCTGAGATTGCACCACTGCACTCCAGCATAGGCAACAAAGCCAGACTCTGCCAAAAACAAAAACAAAAACAAAAACAAAAACAAAAAACAAGAAAGCTCAGTGAGAGGTGGTTGTGAGAACACACTAAAGAGGAAAGATCATTCAGGGCTGGGAGTGGTGACTCACGCCTGTAATCCCAGCACTTTGGGGGGCCACAGGCGGGTGGATTACCTGAGGGCAGGAGTTCAAGACCAGTCTGGCCAACATGGTGAAACCTCGTCTCTACTAAAAATACAAAAACTAGCTGGGTGTGATGGCGGGTGCCTGTAATCCCAGCTACTTGAGAGGCTGAGTCAGGAGAATCTCTTGAACCCAGGAGGCAGAGGTTGCAGTGAGCTGGGATCGTGCCACTGTACTCTAGCCTGGGTAACAGAGCAAGGCTCTGTCTCAAAAAAATAAAAATTAGAAAGAAAAAAGGAGAAGGAGAAGAGGAAGGAGACAGAAAGGAGAGAAACATCCCTGAGGTGGAACATTACATGCAACATGGAGTAGGCAGGGAATCCGATAGAGCACTGAAACTCTCGCTGGGTACGGTGGCTAACATCTGTACTCCCAGCACTTTGGGTGGCCGAGGTGGATGGATCACCTGAGGTCAGGAGTTTAAGACCAGCCTGACCAACATGGTGAAACCCCATCTCTACTAAAAATACAAAAGGCTGGGTGTGGTGGCTCACGCCTGTAATCCCAACACTTTGGCAGTCTGATACAGGCGGATCACATGAGATCAGGAGTTTGAGACCAGCCTGGCCAAGATGGCAAAACCTCATCTCTACTAAAAATACAAACATTACCTGGCTGTGGTGGCAGTCGCCTGTAATCCCAGCTATGCAGGAGGCTGAGGCAGGAGAATCGCTTGAACCTGAGAGGTGGAGGTTGCAGTGAGTCAAGATCGTGCCATTGCACTCCAGCCTGGCCAATAGGAGCAAAACTCCATGTGAAAATAAAATAAAATAAAATAAAATATAATAAAATAAAATAATAAATCAAAAAAGGACTGGACATCTCCTGTGGGTTGTCAGTGAATGGAACTAAGCAAGCCACCGCTCTTTCCCTTTTGTCCCGCAAGTGTCTTTCTTGGCCTCCAGGAAGTGAGTTCCATCATGTCAGACCCTATGTTTGTTCCTGCTGGGTTCACTGAGGCTCCTCCCTTTCCACCTGTGGCTCCCCATGGGTTCCCAGTCCCCAGCCAGTGTTGTGAATCGAGCCAGGAAGACCAGCCCTATCACACCCCTCCTGATGGAATTCCCACAGTGTCATCCTGGAGAACAGGGGCTGGGGGCTGGGGTAGGATCAGAGACCTTTTCATGTGGGCCAGGCCCCTCCCTCCACAGGAGCTCTGACACGAAGCTCATCACCATTCATTTCACCCTGACGATATTCTTCCTGCCCAGACACCCCCGTTCTCCCTATGTCATCATGGGCACCTCAGTGAAATCCATGGTTGAGGGTCTCTGTCACTTACTCTGCCCTCTTCTTGGAAAATTTCCTTGGATCCTTCCAGAGCCCTTCCTGAGTGTGCTGCAGGGTCTCTGCCACATGACACACTCTCAGGAACCCTCATCCTCCCCTTAATCTACTGCGCCCACATAGCCAGGTGCAGGCTCCGTTTCTTCATCTTCCCTTCCCCACAGGCCCCGATGGAGAGTGGATTAGACTCGCTCCTGAGTAGGGACTCAGGTCACTCTGACCCCTTCCTCCCTGTGGACGAGGCCTCTGTCCCAGAGCTTTGGAGGCTGAAGGGCCTTGTGGATTCCCGCACTGGCCACAGTCTCCGATGCAGATGGGGAACTGGGGACCTGGGAGGGGTTGCCTAGCCCAAGGCCACATAGCTGGGCGGTGGCACAGCCTTCACTCACACAGGGACATTCCATCTTCCCAGGGACTTCACACTGGAGGCTAAGAGCCCCACTTTGCACACCACATTCAGGGGTAGATTCTGTGTGTGACTAACAAGTTCTCTTAGGGTTCCGAGGTAACAGGACAGCAAATGGATGAGTGAGAGTTTCCCTCACCCCACTGAAGTAGGACCATTCTCTGTGGAGGGTTGGTCCCCTGACTTCCTCTACTCTGTCATCTCCCTAGTGACTGATAGGGGTCCTGGGGTCTCTTCCCTGGAATCCCATGAGGGACAATTCCTTTCCTGAAGGGAAGGTATAGAGAGGACTAGCAGGTGCCTGGTGATGGAAAGTCCCCATAATCAAGAGACATTGCCTCCCCCCCCCGGCATGATAAATATCTGGGTTTCCAAATGGGAAATCTGTCTGTGATGAGAGCTCAGGAGGGGCTTCTGGAAGATGGAAAAGGGCTAGAGGCTGAGGCCACTGCTTATCTCCCCACACTGTATCTGGCTTCACCTCCTGTGTTTGTCCTGACCTCTTCCTTCACTCACCTGGATAAGTAGGACCCCAAAGTGGGCCTCCAGACAGGAAGCAGTGGAGAGTGTGGAGCTGCCCTGTCTACCACCCTACACCCTGACACCACTGTCATACTCAACCTCTCTTTTCCTCTTTGTGTTTCTCATTGCTTCATTTTGTCTGGAATCCCTAAGATTCCCATGTCTCCAGCAGGCTGTCCCTCAGACGTGGCTATATGATTTAGTGTTTCACAGGGCATGCAGCAGGCATGGGCTACCCCCAGTAACAGTGGTCATCTAGGGCTGATCACTCACAGGCAGAGCCATCGACAGAGAGCTGCAGCATCTAGAGGTCCCATCACCAGCCCCAAGACCCAGAGAGAAGTTGGCCTGAATGCCCCACTCTGTCTCTGCACCCCAGTGAGCCAGTGTCCAGGGGCCTTACCTTCCTCGTTAGAAGGCACAGGTCAAATGAGCTTCCAGAGCTGCAGAGCAAAGTCACATTCTCTCCATCATTACTTACTGCAGGGCACAGTTGAGCTGAGAAGGAAGGTCTCTTGTAGACGCCTGGGGAAAAAAATAGTCCTTGACTGTCGAGCACAAGCCTTACCCAGCCTATCCTCAGGGCATGAAAAAGGCATTCTCTCCACCTGTTCTGGGGAGCACACTCTGTTACCCACTCGTGCCTCTCTCCATCTCAGTTCTAGCTCTACAAGCTGGCTCATCATGTGTGTGTTTTCCTGTCTGTCTTTGCTCAGCTTTTCCTTGAATCTCTTGCTTTTTGCCGGTGCGTGTGTGGCTTTCTGCCCTTAGAACCATATGAGATTTAGGGTTCTCCTGGCACATAGAACTGTTTACTTTGAGGACCCTCAGAAAACATAGCCCTGGGCTAAGGCTCCCTGTCCTGGAACTAGAAGGTTATGGGTGTCACCATTTCCCAACAGCATGTCTGAAAGTGCCAGAATCTTCAAAGAGTCTGCAACATGTTTGTAGGATCTTTATAGGGTCTGATATTGCAGGGACCAACCAAAGTGCCCTCACACCCCAAGACGCTGGAAGTGACCCCTTGCTGAAAGTGGTTGGAAGTTTCACATAGAAGTTTGAGTTAAGCCACATTGCTGAGCAATGCCTCAGCATCCCAGTCTTCATCCAGACCTTCCAGGAGCCTGGCTGGAGGGGGTGTCTCTGGTGTGTCACTGAGCCTTATAGCAGAGGAAGGGGGCTATGGTGGAAACTACCTCCAAGATACCACTCAGTCCTAAGCTGGGGAACAAGCTGAGCTTGGATTCTGGTAGTGAATGAACCGGGAAACATTTATTTGAAGGGTTCTAAGAGTAGCATCGTGTGGGTGCGTTAATTGTATGTGAAGGGGAAGATCCTGAGAAAACAAGAGCTGCTCCACTCTGTGCCTGGGTTTACCAGAGGGACCGATGAGGTCCTCACAAGACCCAGGAATCCCACCGGGGGAAGGAGGCTTAGGGAGATGTGTTTAAGACTGTTAAGTGAGTCACAGACAGAAGCAGATCAAGCCATCCCACCACCTAGGTTTGTGGTTTTGTTTCTCCTAAACTTCCTTTCTGTAAGTAGCAGAACCTTCTCATCACCATCCTTCAAAACCTCTGCATTGTTTGAGCTCCTTGTATTTTCTGGAGATTAATCTCTTGCTTGCAAATATTCTTTCCCATTCTGTAGGTGGTCTCTTCACTCTGCTGTTTGTTTCCTTGATTGTGCAGAAGGTTTGCAGTTTGCTATGATCTCATTTGCCTATTTTTGCTTTTGCTGCCTGAGCTTTTGAGGGTTTTTTTTTTTTGTTTTTTTTTTTGAGACGGAGTCTCGCTCTGTCACCCAGGCTGGAGTTCAGTGGCATGATCTCAGCTCATTGCAACCTCCGCCTCCCGGGTTCAAGTGATTCTCCTGCCTCAGCCTCCCTAGTAGCTAGGACTACAGGCGAGTGCCACCACACCCGGCTAATTTTTGTATTTTTAGTAGAGGCAGGGTTTCACCACGTTTGGCCAGGCTGGTCTCAAACTCCTGACTTCAAGTGATCCACCCACCTTGGCCTCCCAAAGTGCTGGGATTACAGGCGTGAGCCACTGCGCCCGGCGTTGTATTGGATTTTTAATTCAGCCCTATTTTCTCCGACATTTGATATTGGCATTTTTGTCTTTTTTGGATATGCTAGGATCATGGTGTCATAATTTAATTTTAATTTTTATTTTTATTTTAAGTTCCGGGGTACATGTGCAGAATGTGTGGGCTTATTGCATAGGTCAATGTGCGCCATGGTGGTTTCCTGCACCTGTCAACCCATCACCTAGGTATTAAGCCCAGCATACATTAGCTATTTTTCCTAATGCTCTCCCTACCCCTACCCCACCCCCCCCCCGACAGGCCCCAGTGTGTGTTGTTCCCCTCCCTGTGTTCACGCATTCTCATTGTTCAGCACCCACTTGTAAGTGAGAACATGCAGCGTTTGATTTCCTGTTCCTGTGTTAGTTTCCTGAGGATAATGGTTTCCAGCTCCATCCATGTCCCTGCAAAGGACATGATCTTGTTTCTTTTTATGGCTTCATAGTATTCCGTGGTGTATATGTCTCACATTTTCTTTATCCAGTCTATCATTGATGGGCATTTGGGTTGATTCTATGTCTTTGCTATTGTGAATAGTGCTGCGATGAACACATGTGTGCATGTATCTTTGCAATAGAATGATTTATATTCCTTTGGGTATACGCGCAGTAATGGGACTGCTTTTACCTGTGCCAAAATACTGAAGTAGAAATGATTATTCACTCTAAAATGGAAGGTAATAAGATGTATACGTGAGCTATCAGATGCCTGGTGCTTATGAGTGAAGACAAGTCTGTCCAACGCTTCCCAACCCTGCATTCAGGGATGTCTCGTTGGCATCTTGATTATGGCCATGAAAAAAGAATTTACGTCAAGGAAATTGGTAAATGCCACTAATCATAGCATTTCAAAAAATGTCTTTTTCAGAATTAGCATACCATTGGGTCGTGACTTCAAATGCCAGTGTGTTGATTCCAGGTGGTGATATTTCAGGAGAAACTACACAGATAGCATCTGATAAGGAGGGAAGAGCTCATAGGGTCCACACAGGAGGTGAGGGCATCACGGTGCATTTATCTTTTCCTGGTCGGACTCTGATCTTCTCCCGTTGAATTAGTTCCTAAACCAGGTGCGGAACTCTGAACTGAAGACATGAAGACCCAGTAAAGTACACCAGGAAGTGTGGCAATGAGAAATGAAGAGGACTGTGTGACACGCCATGGACCAGAGCATGCAGGTGTGCAGAGGTGTGGACCCAACGCTGCCATGTGGGATGGAGCCTCATGTCTAAGTGTGGGAAAAGAGGCAGATCCAACCAAGGAAAGTCAACATTAATGGAGAGGAAAGGTATCACATTTTAATGGTTCTCCATGGATCACCCCAGAAAATGTCCCTGCACTCGGACATTGATTCCTTCCTCTGGAAATGACCAGCAGACAGTCCAGATAGCATCGGCCCTAGATTTTCTTCCAGAACCTCCTGGGATCATCAGATCTGTTCCTGAGGCTTCACGACTCTATAAAGTACATTATCCTCTCTGCTGTTCACCTCCCGGCTGCATCTTGGGAAGCTTCTCTGGCTGTGCCAAGCCTCAAATGACAGAATCCCGAGGACCACCAGGATCAAGCCAGCCACGCCCATGTGGATGAGATTCTCCACTGCGTAATCCTGAAGGTGTGAGGCTGGGGATGGTGGACAAAGAGGTCACAGAGGTCAGGGTGGATCAGATTGTCCACCCAGGGCACCCACCTCCCCTTCACAGGACCCAACCCTCAGTGCCAGCCCCATCACTGAGAGTATCTCCTCACATACCAGTCTCAGAGTCAGACTTGTTTTGTGATGGGCTGAGGGTATCAGCTGCTCCAGAGAATCAAAACAGAGAAAAAGAGACCTGAGCCCAGCCTCTCACCTGGGCTCTGCAATTTTTTTTTTATTACTTAATGTCTCATGATGTGACTTTTACAGAATTTCTAAAAAAAAAAAAAAAAAACCTCTTCCTCCGCTAGCAGGATTCCCTCTAGTCTCCTCATTGAACGATTTCAGTTTTCCTGTGTTCTATGGATTTAAACATTGCTCCTGAGTCATCTGGGAGAGAGTTTTCCTGCATCCTGAGAGCTCAGGATCTGCAAGGAAAGTGGTCCCCAGTACAGAGGTCACTAAGGCCTGTGTGCTCTCTGTGCAGCCTGGGACACAGGAGAACATGAGCCAACTCCCCCGGAGATGAGAGTTTCACGGATCCACCAGCTGAGGACCCAGGCTCCGTGGATGAGGGTTAGTCATCAGGGGAGCCTCAATGTCAGAAGCACAAAGGGGTGAAATTCTGGGGCTGCCTCCCCTTCATGCCCTCAGCCACTTCACCTGGAGTTTCATTGTCCATTTAATCTCTAGGTAGCTAATTATTCGTATAGGCAGCAACAGGTAGAATGTGATACACACACAGAAAAACACAAACACAAATATATATCTGTTTTATATATATAGTGGGCCTTAAAAACTATCTCTGCCTTCTTGAAGTGTGGGTTCACCTGGAGACAAACAGCAAACATATAGAAACACAGCAGTGGAAATTTACTAGTCGTAGCAATGGTTTTAGATATATTGGTAGAGACCTATATTTATGTGTGAATATATATTATTTGTATAGATATACGGATAACTAGGTTTCAATGTCACGTAAGATGTTGGTGTGACCACACACGCGCACACACACACACACACGTATATGCAGAGAGTGGAAGAGAGAGAGAAGGAATTCAGCCGCATGGTGTAGGTTGGTTAATTACTTGACATAAATGAGAAGCAGGCAGGACTGGGCTGAGCTGTGTCGTCAGTGAAGGTCACACTTGGAGGTGACATTGAAGCTGATTCCTCAATAGGAAAAAGGGCCAGGAAGGAGGCGTGTGGAGACCCAGACAGGGAGCAACAGAGGCTCCAGAAAGAGCAGGTCCCAGAAAGGTCTCAGCCTGTTCTTCAGAAAGGAATGGCCGCTTGTCTACAGGGTGGAGGAGGAGGCAGAGGAGGAGGGGAGATGAGCTTCGGGGCCTTGGTGGATTGAGAATAGGCCAGGATGAACCGGCCAGGAAAGAGCGGCCCCAATATCTCTCTCTCTGTCTCTCTGTCTCTGTCTCTGCCTCTCTCTCCCTCCCTCTGAGGTCTGGAAAGTGCTGTAGGGTTTCAAGGAGTGGTACCAGTCATTTGACTTTTTCTGAAAAGATAAGCCCTACCCCCTCCATAGCAAATGTCCAGAACGAAGGAAGTCCACATTTCTACCTGAAGTTTACAAAACCTCAGGGAGCACGTGAGATCAGGGCTATTACGAAACCGGGTGAGAATAAAAATAGGTGATGCTGCAAATCTACTTTCACCAGCTTGGACAAAAAGGCCAATATGAGATTTTAAAAACCCAAATAAAAAATGTCAACGGCGCAGAAGAGGAGCGGTGCACATTCCCTGAGCTGCTGCGGGAGCACGTGCAAGTCCCTGTGAGGCTCAGGTGTGCGCTGAGTGCTGGGGAGGCTGCAGGGGAAAGCAGGAAGTGGGGCGGGGTGGGGGGGGGTCGGGGGTGGATGCAGGTGGCACCGGCAGCCTGGATGCTTCTCTCTCCAGGAGGGCGTCTGTTGGGGACTGGGACACAGAGGCTCTGATTCTGAGGTGGAGACACCAGGATGGGAGCAGGTGGGGCCTCCGTCTTCCACCCTCAGTCTAATCTCAACTCCTTTGAGGTTCACCCCCCGTCTCCTCCCAGCCCTCCCTGCACTTTACTCTACTGAGACTTCAGGGGTGGGAGCCAGGGGTGGGAGGTCCCTGTCTATTTCCATCTTCCCATGGGCTGGACCCTCCCCTGCGGACCCTCTCCCTTCACTCCCCTCTTTCCTTAGTGTCCAGAGCTCTGCTGGGGGCAGGGCCTGAGCTGAGCCTTTGAGCTCAGAGAGGACAGGGTCAGCGCCCTCACCTGAGACCACGAGCTCCACGGGGCCACTGGGGTGAGACAGCAGGTAGGGGTCGGAGCTGAGTGAGCCGTAGCACCTGTAGGTCCCCGTGTGGGCTGAGGTCACAGGACTCATGGGGAATTC